>NC_000004.12:134678956-134981987 GCF_000001405.40 Homo sapiens
TGAGACTGGGGCCTAATAAAAAGGAGCATCTATACAGGACCTCAAATGGGCTGTACACTGTAGCATTCTGAGGACAGGTCTGACTTCTGAGAAGGGAAAGTGGTAAAAGTATTGTCTAGTCCTTTTTAAGTTGGTGGCTGAGCTTGGTGAGGTGTGTTTTTAAAAGACCATTAGTCTGTTCTACTTTTCCTGAAGACTGAGGACTGTAAGGGATATAAAGGTTTCACTGAATACTAAGAGCCTGAAAAAATGCTTGGCTGATTTGACTAATAAAGGCTGGTCTGCTATCAGACTGTATAGAGGTGGGAAGGCTAAACTGAGGAATTATGTCTGACAGAAGGGAAGAAATGACTGCAGTGGCCTTCTCAGACCCTGTAGGAAAGGACTCTACCTATCCAGTGAAAGTGTCTACCTAGACTAAGAGGTATTTTAGTTATCTGACTCGGGGCATGTTGAGTAAAGCTAATTTGCAAGTCCTGGGTGGGGGCAAATCCTCGAGCTTGATGTGTAGGGAAGGGAGGGGGGCCTGAATAATCCTTGAGGAGTAGTAGAATAGCAGATGGAACACTGAGAAGTTATTTCCTTGAGGATAGATTTCCACGATGGAAAGGAAATGAGAGGTTTTAAGAGGCGGGCTAGTGACTTGTACTATAGCATAGCCTGCCTTTGCTGGTGTGTGGCGATTAGGCCTGGTGGAACTGCCATTAATAAATCAAGCGTGATCAGGGTGAGGAGCAGGAAAGAAGGAAATATGCGGAAATGGGGTGAATGTCAGGTGGATCAGAGAGATACAGTCATGAGGGTCAGGTGTGGTATCCAGAATAATGTGGGAGGCCGGACTGAAGTCTGGGCCAGGAACAATGGTAATTGTGGGACTTAACAAAGAGTGAGTACAGCTGAAGGAGCCAGGGAACAGAAAGTATATGTGTCAGGTATGAGGAAGAAAATAGATTTTGGAAGTTATGAGAAATGTAGAGAGTGAGTTGAGCATAGTTTGTGATTTTGAGGGCCTCTGAAAGTATTAGAGTGGCAGCAGCTGCTGCACGGAGACACGAAGGCTAGGCTAAAACAGTAAGGTCAAGTTGTTTGGACAGAAAGGCTACAGGGTGCAGTCTTGGCTCTTGTGTAAGAATTCTGACTGCACTAACCATGCCTAGGAAGGAAAGGAGTTGTTGTTTTGTAAGGGATTGAGGTTTGGGAGATTAATCGGACATGATCAGCAGGGAAAGCACGTGTGTTTTTATGAGAATTATGCCGAGATAGGTAACAGATGAGGATGAAATTTCGGCTTGACTGAAGTAATGGGGGCTGTCTGTGAAGCCTTGCGGCAGTACAGCCCAGGTAATTTGCTGAGCCTGATGGGTGTCAGGGTCAGTCTAAGTGAAAGCAAAGAGAGGCTGGGATGAGGGGTGCAGGGGAATAGTGAAAAAAGCATCTTTAAGATCGAGAACGGAATAGTGAGTTGTGGAGGAAGGTATTGAGGACAAAAGAGTGTACGGGTTGGGCACCACAGGATGGATAGGCAAAACAATTTGGTTGATAAGGCGCAGATCCTGAACTAATCTGTAAGACTTGTCCAGTTTTTGGACAGGTAAAATGGGGGAATTGTAAGGAGAGTTTATAGGTTTTAGAAGCCCATGCTGTAGCAGGCGAGTGATAACGGGCTTTAATCCTTTTAAAGCGTGCTGTGGGATGGGATATTGGCATTGAGCGGGGTAAGGGTGATTAGGTTTTAATGGGATGGTAATGGGCATGTGATCCTTGCCAGGGAAGGAGTAGAGATGTCCCATACTTGTGTGTTAAGGTGGGGGGATACGAGAGGAAGACGCGAAGGAGGCTTTGGGTTGGGGAGAAGGGTGGCAATGAGATGCAGCTGTAGTCCAGGAATAGTCAGGGAAGCAGATAATTTGGTTAAAGTGTCTCGGCCTAATAAGGGAACTGGGCAGGTGGGGATAACTAAAAAAGAGTGCATAAAAGAGTGTTGTCCAAGTTGGCACCAGAGTTGGGGAGTTTTAAGAGGTTTAGAAGCCTGGCCGTCAGTAACCACAACAGTTATGGAGGCAAGGGAAACAGGCCCTTGAAAAGAAGGTAATGTGGAGTGGGTAGCCTCCGTATTGATTAAGAAGGGGACAGACTTACCCTCCACTGTGAGAGTTACTGGAAGCTTGGCATCCGTGATGGTCTAGGGGGCTTCCGAGGCCATCAGCCACCATCAGTCTTCAGCTGCTAAGCCAAGAAGACCCAGGAAGGAGTCAGAGCCTTGGGCCAGAGTTCCAGGGGCTCTGGGAGTGGCTGCCAGGTGAGTTGGACAGTCCGATTTCCAGTGGGGTCCCGCACAGATGGGACGTGGCTTAGGAGGAATCCTGGGCTGCAGGTATTCCTTGGCCTGGTGGCCAGATTTCTGGCACTTGTAGCAAGCTACTGGGGGAGGAGGTTCTGGAGGAATGCCTGGCTGCTGCGGTTCAGGTGTTTGGAAGTTCTTGTGTGCTGGAGATGTGGCTGGGGTTTGTCTCACAGTGGAGGCAAGGAATTGCAACTGTTTTCTATTATTGTACACCTTGAAGGTGAGGCTAATTAAATCCTGTTGTGGGGTTTGAGGGCCGGAATTTAATTTTTGGAGTTTTATTTAATGTCGGGAGCAGATTGGGTAATAAAATGTATTTTGAGAATAAGACGGCCTTTTGACATTTTAGGGTCTAGAGCTGTAAAGTGTCTCAGGGTTGCTGCCAAACAAGTCATGAACTGGGCTGGATTTTTATATTTGATGAAAAAGAGCCTAAATGCTATCTGATTTGGGATAAAGAAAAAGGAGCATTAACCTTGACTATGCCTTTAGCTCCAGCCACCTTTTTAAGAGTAAATTGCTGGGCAGGTGGGGGAGGGCTAGTCATGGAAGGAAACTGTAAGCCTGACTGGGTGTGAGGAGGGGAGGTGATAAAAGGATTATAGGGTGGAGGAGCTGAGGCTGAGGAAGAATTGGGACCTAGCTCGGCCTGGCCAGGAGGGGAGAGGTCAGATAGGTCTGTAGAAAAGGAAGATTAGAAAGACTCAGTGACGCTTGGGATTGGGACTGAGGGGACAGGTGGGAGGGAAAGAAGGAAGATTTGGGACGAGTTGCATTGGGCACAGAGACTAGGAAGGGACCGATGTGTAAAAGAATGCCTGGACGTCAGGCACCTCAGACCATTTGCCCATTTTATGACAAGAATTATTTAGATCTTGTAGGATGGAAAAATTGAAAGTGCCATTTTCTGGCTATTTGGAACTACTATCGAGTTTGTATTGGGGTCAAGTGGCATTGCAGAAGAAAATAAGACACTTAAGATTTTAGGTCAGGTGATAGTTGAAGAGGTTTTAAGTTCTTAAGAACACAGGCTAAGGGAGAAGAAGGAGGAATGGAAGGTGGAAGCTTGCCCATAGTGAGGGAGGCAAGCCCAGAGAAAAGAATAGAGACACGGAGAAGGGGTGGGGGGTTCTTGCCCTCCACAAAAGCGGGAAAGGGGTTGGGGTGTGGAAATAAGGGGTTGGGGCACCGAGATAAGAGGTCGGGGCATGGAAATAAGGGATTGGGGTGCAGAGATACAAGGTTGGGGTATTTGCTCCTCCCCCAGAAAAGCGGGACTTGTCACTAAGGGTGAAGGAGAAGGGGTTGGGGGTTTCTTGCCCCCCAGAAAGGTGGAGAAGGGGTAGAGACACGGAGAGAAGGGGTTGGGGTACTTGCCCCTTCCCCAGAAAAGTGGGACTTGCCACTAAGGGTGAAGGACCAAGGCAGGCGTCCCTGCGTGGTCTGACACCTCTGAAACCTGGGTGAATAATCAAAGAGGCATCCCTGCAATAATTAAACACCAAGGGAAGGCTGCCTTCCCAGTCAATGACCAGCGCCGGAGTTCTGGGTCCACCAATAAAATGTGTCTCCTTTGTCTCTACCAGAAAATGAAAGGAATTGAAATTAAAAGAAGGGAGAGATTGAAGAGTGGAAAGGAGAAAGAGGCTGAGAAACAGTGAGAGAGGTTGCAGAAGAGAGTAAGAAGAGGGGGCTTACCCGATTTGAAATTGGTGAGATGTTTCTTGGGCTGGTCAGTCTGAGGACCTGAGGCATAGGTGGATCTTTCTCACAGAGCAAAGAGCAGGAGGACGGGGGATTGATCTCCCAAGGGAGGTCCCCCAATCCAAGTCACGGCACCAAATTTCATACACGTCTGTGTGAAGAGACCACCAAACAGGCTTTGTGTGAGCAACATGGCTGTTTATTTCACCTGGGTGCAGGCGGGCTGAGTCCGAAAAGAGAGTCAGGGAAGGGAGATGGGGTGGGGCCGTTTTATAGGATTTGGGTAGGTAAAGGAAAATTACAAAGGGGGGTTGTTCTCTGGCGGGCAGAGTCGGGGGTCACAAGATGCTCAGTAGGGGAGCTTTTGAGCCAGGATGAGCCAGGAGAAGGAATTTCACAAGACAATGTCATCAGTTAAGGCAGGAACAGGCCATTTGCACTTCTTTTGTGGTGGAATGTCATCAGTTAAGGCAGGAACCGGCCATCTGGATGTGTACATGCAGGTCACAGGGGATATGATGGCTTAGCTTGGGCTCAGAGGCCTGACAGTAACTGTGTGGTATAGTTTGATGTAGGGTAATATAATGCCTTCAGCCTAGTTCTTTTTGCTTAGAATTGCCTTGAATATTCAGGCTTTTTGTTTGTTTGTTTGTTTTGGTTCCATATGGACTTTAAAATAGCCTTTTCTAATTCTGTGAAGAATGTCTTTGGTAGTTTGGTAAGAATAGCATAGAATCGGTAAACTGCTTTGGGCCATATGGCTATTTTAACAATATTGATTTTTCCTATCCATAAGCATGAAATGTTTTACGTTTTGTAATTCTCATTGTAGAGATCTTTCCCCTTCATGATTCACTGTGTTCCTAGGTATTTTATTTCTTTTGTGGCTACTGGGAATAGCATTGTGTTCTTGATTTGGCTTTCAGCCTGGGTGTTGTTGGTGTATAGAAATGCAACTGACTTTTGCACATTAATATTTTATCTTAAAACTTTGCTGGAGTGGCTTATCAGATCAAAGAACTTTTGGGCTGATACTGTGGGGTTTTCTAGGTATAAAATCATATTATCTGAAAATAGAAATAGTTTGAATTTCTCTCCTCCTACTTGAATACTTTTTGTTTCTTTCTCTTGCCTAATTGCTCTGTCTAGGACTTCCAGGACTATGTTGAATAGGAGTGGTGACAGTGAGCATTCTTGTCATATTCTGGTTCTCAAGGAGAATGCTTCCAGCTTTTGACTATTCAGTATTATGTTGGCTGTGAGTTTGTCATAAATGGCTGTTAATATTTTGAAGTATGTTTCTTCAATGCCAGTTTTTGAGGGTTTTGAACTTGAAGAAATGTTGAATTTTATCTAAAGCTTTTTAGACATTTATTGAAATGATCATGTGGTTCTTGTTTTTAGTTGTGTTTATGTGATGAGTTACGTTATTGGTTTGTGTAGGTTAAACCAAACTTGATGCCAAGAAATAAAGCCTACTTGATCGTGATAGATTAGCTTTTTGATGTGTTGCTGTATTTGGTTTGCTAATATTTTGTTGAGAATTTTTGCATCTATGCTCATCAAGGATATTGGCCTGAAGTTTTCTTTATTATGTAGGTCTCTGACAGATTTTGGTACCACGATGATGCTGGCTTCAAAGAATGAGTTAGAAAGGATAGGGAGGAGTCTCTTCTCAATATTTTGGGAAAATTTCAGAAGGAATGGTACCAGCTCTTCTTCATATATATCTGGTAGAATGTTTCAGTTAATCCATCCGGTCCTGAGCTTTTTCTGGTTGGTAGGCTTTTTATTCCTGATTCAATTTTGGAAGCCATTATTGGTCTGTTCAGGGATTCAGTTTCTTCCTGGTTCAATCTTGGCAGGTTGTATGTTTCCAGGAATTTATCCATTTATTCTAGATTTTCTAGCTTATGTTCATAAAGTTGTTTGTAGTTGTCTCTGAGGGTTTTTGTAATTCTGCACTGTCTGTGGTAACCTCCTTCTTGTCATTTCTGATTGTGTTTATTTGGGTCTTCTCTTCTTTTATATATTTGTCTAGCTAGCAGCCTATTTATCTAACTTACTCTTTCAAAAAACAAACTCATGGACTTGATCTTTTATATGGTTTTTGTGTGTCCCAACGTCCTTCAGTTCAGCTCTGATTTTGGTTGTTTCTTGTCTTCCACTAGCTTTGGGGTTGGTTTGTTCTTGCTTCTCTAGTTCCACTAATTGTGATGTTAAGGTTGTTAATTTGAGATCTTTCTTCCTTTTCTATTTGGGCATGTAGTGTTTTACATGTCCCTCTCCATACTGCTTCAGCTGTGTCCTAGAGATTCTGGTTCTGTCGTATCTTTCTTGTCATTACTTTCTCTTGATTTCTGCCTTAATTTCTGTGTTTACCCAAAAGTCATTCAGGAGCAGGGAGCTTAATTTTCATGTAATTGTGTGGTTTTGAGAAATTTTGTTAGTATTGGTTTCTATTTTTTTTTCCACTGTGATCTGAGAGTGTGGTTGGTATGATTTTGGTTTCTTTCAATTTGCTGAGGATTGTTTTATAGCTGATTGTGTGGTCGATTGTAGAGCACATACCATGGGGCAATAAGAAGAGTGTATATTCTGTTGTTTCAGGTGGAGAGTTCTGTAGATGTCTATTAGGTCTATATGGTCGAGTGTTGAGGTCAGATCCTGAATCTTTGTTCAGTTTTCTCCCTGAATATCTTTGTTAGTTTTCTCCCTGAATATCTTTGTTAGTTTTCTCCCTAGATGATCTATCTAATACTGTCAGTGGATTGTTAAAATCTCCCACTATTATTGTGCAGTCATCTGAGTTTATTTGTAGATCTCTATGAACTTGTTTTAGGAATCTGGGTGGTCCTGTGTTGGGTGTATATATATTTAGGATAATTATGTCCTCTTCTTGAATTGAATACTTTACCATCATGTAATGCATTTCTCTGTCTTTTAGATAATTGTTGGCTTAAAGTTTGTTTTGTCTGAAATTAGAATGGCAACCCTGCTTTTTTCTGTTACCATTTGCTTGGTAGATTTTTCTCCATCGCTTTACTTTGTGCCTATGTGTGTCCTCGCACATGAATAGTTCTCTTGAACACAGCATAAAGTCGTGTTTTGCTTCTTTATCCAACCTGCCACTCTGTGCCTTTTAACTGGGGCATTTAAAAAGGTGTATTATTATCTTGAATACATTCAAGATAATATTAATATATATGGATTTGATTCTGTCTTCAGCTTTTTAGGTGGTTATTATGCAGACTGTGGTTGCTTTATAGTGTCAATGGTCTATGTACATAAATGTGTTTTTTGTGGTGGCTGGTAACAGTTTTTCCCCTTCCATATTTTACATTCCCTGAAAACCTCTCATAAGGCAGGTCTTGTGCTAAAGAATTCCTTTAGCATTTTCTCATCTGAAAAAGATCTGATTTCTCCTTTATTTATGAAGCTTAGCTTGTCTGGACATGAAATTCTTGGTTGAAATTTAATTCATTTATGAATGCTGAATATAGACCCCCAGTTTCTTCTGACTTACAGGGTTTCTGGTGAAAGGTCCACTGTTAACCTGGTGGAGTTTCCTTTGTAGATGACCTGCCCCTTCTCTCTAGCTGTCTTTAACGTTTTCTCTTTCCTTTTGAGCTTGGAGAACCTGATGACTACGAGTCTTCAGTATGATAATTTTGTATAGTATCTTGCAGGAGTTCTTTGCATTTCCTGAATTTAAAAGTTGGCCTGTCTAGTGAGGTTGGGGAAATTTTCATGAACAATATCCTGAAATATGTTTTCCAAGTAGCTTGCTTTCTCTCTGTCTCTTTCAGGGATGTCAATGAGTGATAGAGTTGGTCTTTTTACCTAATCCTATATTTCTCAGAGGTTTTGGTCATTCTTTTTTAGTCTTTTTTTCTTTATTTTTGTGTAAGTTATTTCAGAGAACCAGTCTTAGATCTCTAAGATTCTTTCCTCAGCTTGATCTTGTATTCTGAAATTCATGAAGTGATTTTTTTTTTCCTCTCTATAAGATCGGTTCAATTCTTTCTTAAAATGGCCATTTCACCTTTCTTGTCCTGCATCATTTTATTGTATTCCTTAGAGACTTTGGATTGGGTTTTGGCATTCTCTGGAATCTCAATGATCTTTGTTTCTGTTCATATTCTGGATTCTATTTCTGTCATTTCAGCCTAGTTGAGAACCATCACTGGGAAACTAGGGTGGCCATTTGGAAGTAAGGAGATACTCTGGCTTTTTGAGTTGCCAGAGTTCTTGTGCTTGTTCTTTTTCATCTGTGTGGGTATATGTTCTTTCAGTCTTTTAAGTTGCTGTCTTTGGATTTTTTTTTTCTCTTATCTTCTTTGATACCTTTAGGAGGTTGATTGTTTTATAAGATGGGTTCAGTCAACTGGCTTCATTTATGAAACATTTTAGGAGACCAAGTCTCAGCTCAACACCACTGGGATTCGTACTTCCATTGTGGGGAGTTGGTATCGGGCCACTAGCTTTGTTCTCTGGACCCTTGAGGTTAGGAACCTGATGCACTGGAGGGTCGAAGGTCTTTCTAGACTGCTGGACACAGCACACTGATGGGTGGTGCCAGGCAAAGCACTTCTTTGGAGTGGTGGCAGTGGGATCTGTGCTTGTTTATTTGTGCTAGAAGCAGTGGTGGTATAGCAAGGTGCATGTTCCTTGGCTAAGGTGGGGTCACAGTGGGAGTGGTGGTGTTGCACTCCTGCATGTGCTTACACTGGTGGTGGTGGTGGCAGGGGCAGGGCACTGGTAGACAAAGGACTGCTGGCTACCAAGCACATGTTTGCACTGGCAAGGACAGCATAGGGTGGGGTGTGGAGTGCACTCACACTGCCTGCAGTGGTATGGCTGTGTGCGTGCACATACATACCTGCTAGTGGGGGATGGGGCTGAGGTTCACCTGCCTGCACATGTTGGTAAAGCAGTGGAGGAGTGGTCATGAGGAAGTGTGTGCCAGCAAAGCAGCGTTGGGGGGGCTGTGGTGTCAGGTGTAAGTGGGCTGGTGTGTATCAGCACAGGCTGCTCTGCTGGAGCTCTTTGGTGGTCAGGTGCAGTCTGCTGGCAAAGGAGCCGTGATAAGGGCCCCAGGAAGACCCTACTTGGGTATCTGAGGTTGCACTACAAGTGGGCAAGGCCAGGCTGGGGCCCCAGGAGAAGCTAGCAGATGTGGGAGTGCTCAGATTGGATTGGCCCCTTCCCAAGACTGCCTTACTCTGTCTACGTCCAACAGTCTCCCTAAAGCTACAGTCTCCTAGAGGAGCGTGGTTAGCCTTGGGGGATGACCCTTTGGGAAACAGCCTCCCTGGCCATTCTCCACTGCAGATGTTCTTGCACCAAATCCTCTGGGCTTTGCACAGGCTCAAGTATTGCTCCTACTAGCTCTCTAAACAGCTCTCCTTGCCAGCTCAAGTGTCCATGGAGATCATGTGGTTTCCTGCTGCCAGAATCTCAGAGGTCTGTGGCAAGAGCAGGCTGCTCCTTACCAGTTCAGCTCACCCCTTCCCCAGGAGATACTGAAGGCCAGGAAAGAGTACCAGTGTGTGATAGCCCAGTGCAGGATCCCCAGCTTCCCCCCTTTGCCCTGGGTCTGTGTCCTCCTTCTGTCTACCCTCAGTGCCTTCCCTCCAAAGATCTGCTCAGAGTGTGCCAGTCTTCCCGATTTCTTGGTCTCTTGATGGCAGATGTTCCTCCTGGCTGCCTGTAGTCAGCCATCTTGAATCTCTAAATTTTCTTAAACTTTACAAATACTTTAAATATCAATTACTGCACAGGAGGCTGAGGCATGAGAATTGCTTCAACCTGGGAGGTGGAAGTTGCAGTGAGCCGACGTCATGCTACTGCACTCCAGCTGCAGTGACATAGCCAGACTCCATCTCAAATACATACATACATACATACATACATACATACATACATATCGATAACTGCAAAAATTTCAATATTATGAGTATGATTTATGTAAACTTTGCTAAATTTACTTTTTATATACCTGTATTCGATATGGATTATTCACTAAGAGAGCAATGGGTTTCAAAATCATCAGGGTTCCTATTTATACCAGCCAGGTTTTCAAGACCAGCCTACGTTTTATTCAGAACTGTGATTGGTTTCTTGTCTGTTACCATGACGGGCACAGAAAGGCTTTCTTATAGATTTTATGTCAATGACTCTTTAAAACAACATCAAAAAATAAATAAATAAAAAGAACACACAAAAAAATGGTTGCATAACCCTTGTCTCTATATTATACTCAAAGATATTTACGATTTCTTAATCAAGTTATTAAAAAACTTGAATATATTTTTACATTTTTTACTCAATATGTATAAATATATTCTGTCATATTAGATGCTAAGATGAAAACTAATTATTATTGTTGTTTAAGATTTTACGACTACAGGATCACAATTTCCAAAGTCATTTAAATTACTGTACTTACTCATTTTGTTTTTGTTTTTCTTGTGTTCAATCCTAGAACACTGGCATTCATTTTATTAGTTTATGATATCCTTCATAATAACAAAGAAACGACACCCTAATAGGAAATCAAAAAAGCTTGAATTCTAGTTCTGTCACTCAGTGGGAATTTAGGCAGGCAAAATGTCTTGATAAAACTGTTTCATCACCTGGAATATCAAGTTATACTTAAGTCTGATTTGACATGAGGTCTTATGTAGAAAAGGAATTTGTATACAACAAAAATGTCTTACATACATGTAAAGTTTGTTTATTCTTTTTAGTTAACATTTCTTCAATCTGAGACATATGGATCATTTATCAAGTCTGATCATTAATTCCCAGATTACTAATGACATTTTAGTTTACTTTCACAAGATTATATAATCTGAATTAACTTTAAATCATGTTTCACAGTGGGAAATCTGACATATACAGAGTAAACTTTATTCCAATGAAGTGAATACACGTATTTTTAAAGGTTGTTTTCCAGTATGCTAGAAATATGTTCTTAGATCCTTTAACCAGATGCTACATTAATCATTCCTATTAAATCAGTTGCCTATTGGTATGCTTTGTGACTCGTTATCACACTAAAGAAAGTATGCCATGTTTATGATGATGAATATTTCAGTAATAAAGATTGGTTTTCTTGGTCACTGTCATTGAAAAGACGAATAACTCTAGCTGCTTAGACCCTGAAAGAATTAGAAAATTCTAGCAAAATTATCTATTTAAAAAGCTTGCAGATAGAAATACAAATGTCCTTATCTTGAAATGAGTAACATATCTAGGATTATTTTCATCTGCCAATTCTGGGATGTGTACTGTCTTAATGGCTTCCTAATGCCCTAAATATTTTTCTTCTTCTACTTATTTACTCATTAATGCATCTGTTTTTTTGTCCTGAGACATATTTTCTTCCAAATATTAGTGATTTTTATTTTTCCTAATATCTTCTTAATAGTAAAATAAAAAAAATAGTACATTGATGATTATGTACATGAGGGTAAACTAGGCCATCTCAAAAGTGAGGTGGAATGAAGGTGAGATTTGATTAAGCACTGCATTCATGGCTCAGCCAGGCATTTTCCACATTTTTGTGTGTTCTGACCTGGAGAAATACTTTCTTTTTATTTTTCCAAGCTTTTTTAACCATTGCTTTTAATCAGGAAACAAGCCAGACTGCGGATTGTTTCACATTATTCACAGGTTCCCCATCAAAACAAAAATAATTCAATAAATAGGAGGATAATTCTGATAGCATCATGCAAACTATCCATCAGGAGGACACTGGGTCAGTGTGTTCTTATGCAAAAAGAAACTATACATCTTAATTTTTATTGACTTGACAAATAAAGGGCTACTCTATGGTAGGCAGTACATAGCATCAATTGAAATCCAGAAGTGTGCTCAGCATATAGTTGTAACCCACTAAATATAGCTTGAATGAATTAAGGCACACTAGAAGGAAAAGGAAAAAAAGGATGGCAAAGAATGAAAAGTTTGACAAGAGTGGGCACAGTACTAACTGATGCATTGGGGGTATTTGGGTTGTTGAAGAGTGTACACTTTGATGTAGGAAACTAGCTTATAAATAAATAATTAAATACAAATTTATCAGATTTGAAAGTATTTTTTGTTGCCAGTTTATATGAATTCTTGCATTGGGCTGTTTTATTTACTGACATTTTAATGTGGTACATAGTTAACAGAAGGAATATTGAAAAATCTGATGCAATATATTACTGTTTTCTTATCTTATTTTGACTATATCTCAAAATATTTTTAGTTTTAGTTAGCAGAGTAATGTGGTCCACGAATTGTAAAATGGGAGTCTGAAAGTAATTTAGAGAGGAAAATAATATGCAAGATACTTTCTGCATGAAGAACAAGTAGTATTTATGGCCGGGCTTTACATTTACTTAGAAGACAATTTACCACTACTTTTCCCTAGCATTCAGAAGATAGAGTCAAATATGAATTTTATATACAGTATTTCTATTAAAATAAATGAATTTCTAGAAAGATAATTGTGATATCATGACTGGATATTCACATGCACCATATTTGATTTAAACTAAATGCAATTAATAAATTGTGTTTAATACAAACTAAAATTCAAGAAAAATAACAGGTAAATATGTATATACATATTGATATGCATTTTATATTATTATATGTTATATACTTAGGTATGGTAATATCATTTTTGCTGGTAAGGTTGGCAGCCAAGTCATATAAAACTGTTTTGAATGAATACCTCTGGCCTCCATTAGACTATCACTCTATAGGGGTATTAATTGATCGAAGTGCCAGAAATAGTTTACCTTGAAGTTAATGAAGTCTATAATTCTAAAATGTTTATTGTATGGGCCCCTTCATAGGTCCAGGAACTGCCCTAGCAAGACTTTCAAATGGACACGTATTTTTAGGGGGTAGTAAGATACTATTAAAACTATAGTCTCTTTCTACTACAGTTTCCTTTTTATCATGCTTCCTGTCATGTTGGGTGGCATTGGAATGCCTGCAAATATATTTTTAGATTGAGCTAAGGAGAAGTTGAGTTGTGGATATGTTTAGCTAGAATTTATAGTCACTTAAGTATATAGTCATTGCTCACTGTCCTGATTTAGAAATGCCTTCCAGAGATCTTCCTGCAAACCCACTGCGCTGACTCATGTAAAGTCATGACAGAGTAGGGCAGAGAAAGAAGTCATTAGGAAGAATTGTGGTCACTTGGTACTGGAAGTAGATGGAAATGGTTGATTAAAGTGTACCGTCCTGGAAACTAGTGTGTTAAAAACATTCTTCTAAACATCAGGATTAAGTTCTCAAAGACATATGATCAACAGTGAAGTTGTCTGGAAATATATTTGATAATGCAACATTGTATATGTGTATGCATCTATATGTGCACTATACAGTGATGCTTTTATATAGGAATCAAATGGAATTAATTAGAATTCCTTTATATTTACGACAGAACTAAAAACCGTGAGTATGCCTGTATGTGAAATATACAAGATTTATTCCTCTTAATATAGTGATTATTTATTGGTGTACCTGGCACAATTTATCTTGACAAAGTCTGGTGGTTCCAAATGAAATATCATAAACAATTGCCACTGTCATCACAACAGGGGTCTAAATATGATATAATTGTAACATATGTATAAACACAGCAATATGCAACATATAAATATGATTACATGTTTGTGTAGCTTTATTAAATATTTTGACAATTTAAACATATATTTGAACTGCTTTTGTGTGGGCCTTTTCATTAATTTTGTATATATTTTCAAACTATTGATTATAAAAAAATTTGCATAGATGGAACATAATTTTCTTACTTGCAGTCAAAAATGAAAATTATGAGAATTTTTAATCATCAAAATCTCATTTATATCACAATGAAAATTACTGCTATATATGATTTTGACCAAAGAGTATCCAACAAAGAAAAATCTAGAAAACAAGTACTATGAATAGTACTAGCACTAGGTTAATTTATAGAAATATAATGCTATTTTTTCTGATTTTTACTCTGTCACTTACTAGGTGTGACCTTAGGTAAATTAACTAACTGTTTTGTACTGTAGGGCATTTACAGCAAGAAGGTGACAATAATATGTGTTAAGAGATCACATAATAAAAACACTGGACTTAAACTGACCATTTTATGAACTTGAGTCCTATTCAATCTCTCTGGTTCTTAGTTTCTTCATATACAGAATGTAGATCAAAAGCCTACATGATTACAATTGTTTTTCAAGTTTACAAAAGCATTTAATGGGAGCACATCCAGCCTGAATATAGTGGTAAAAAGTTAGCGTTTTTCTCTTTACTTCATAGCAACAAGAAAGATAAGAAACAAATTTAGGAACCAGCTAAATTGCAGCCCCCAAAGAGGGTTATGGCTGCCAAAAGCGGCAGAGATAGATCATGAAGCATACAGAAAAGAGGAAAGCAAAGACAGAAAAATTATCCACAAAAATAATTCATAATGGAAGACCCATTATAACTTTAATTAGGGATGAGCAGCACACTATGATCTAAAAATCGTAAATTCCTCATTTGCAGCCAAAAAATAATGTGGTTGTGTCAATCAATGGCAAAGACTTGCCTGGACCCATTGTCAGAGAGGCAAAGGAGACAGCCTATAGCGATGCTACATATTCTCCATTTGGCCCCTCCCCTCTTTCTCACCAACTTTGTTTCTTGGGAGGCTGATACTTTGGGTCTGCATCAACAGGACACCTGGGCCTTCTATGATAAGTTTTGGCCAATGACAGGGAATAGTAGGGCATCTAATAGAAGGAATGGGAAGACATTATAGTATTTATTATCCCACCCTGCTCCCTAACAGATTGCGTGGCAATTTCAATATGTTAAAGCTGCAGCTTCTGCCACGAAGTCCATACCTCCAAGGCCCCCTCTTTCTTCAGGCATAGAAGTGCTCTTGCTAGTCCTGGGTTGCTTCAGTTATTCTTGTCAATTCTGCTAAACCCTGCCCATACCCTTGTAAATATTTCATCCGTGTCTATTTGAGTATTCCATCTTTGTTTTCCTATTCAATATCCAATGATTCTATATTTTATGCCAGATGTAATTTTGGACATAGATCCTAAAAATGTCATTTAGTAACTGGAATACTTACATATTTGAAAAGTAATGGGTCTTTGAAAAATAAAAATGAGACACTTGAGTGGACCCAGATAAGGCTGAGAATCCCCAATTATCCCTGAATACTACTTGTGGAGAAGAGCAGTGCCTGTCTCACATCTGAGTTTTTCCTTGCATAAATGCATTCTAATGACTTTGACTAGAGCAGTTGTCTCACAAAGGGATGACAGTTCTCTGTAGTACCTACTCATTGTCTCCCAGCCACTATTTAAATTAATGTTTCTCAAAGCCCAGATAGAGAACTACCAACCTGGCCCAGAAGGTGTCTATATATTGAAAGAGTTGCAGACTCTTACCAATTTTTGTTGGCAGGAGATGGGGTTCCATGTGGAATAGTAGATTTTAGGGATATTAGACTAACAAAGAGGAAGTAAAGCCTTGTCTTAATGATATTTGATTTAATGCATTGGATAAAAAATTGTGAGTGACATTAATAGTCTCTATGCTAGATAATTGATGTTTGACTCAATAATGAAGGCCCAATTTGTGGTCAGGCATTCTTTACTCGATCATACTCCACAGAAGGGTCTGGAATCCATACCCCTCAGCATTAAGAAATGCTGAAGAAACTAAGAAATGTGTTAAGTAATGGGGAAAAGGAAAGAACACCAGCACTTCTGAGAATCTCTGGGTTTTCATTCTTTCTAATAAGAAATGATTATGGAAGATGTTTCAGTGGAATTGGGATCCCTGCTTTCAATGGAAATAATAAGCATTTTGAGCAGTAGAAGCCAGTTGTTAGCACTTAACCTTCTAAGAGCCCAGTAGAATAAATGGTGGATGAAATCAACATAGCCAGTCCACAGGGACAGATCAATAATCAGAGTGATTAGACCAGCAGAGAATTGTGGAGGAAGCTAATTGATTACAGGGTCCTTAGGATTGGAACAGATGGGGAGCCTATGAAGGTACCATTTGAAATATATAATTAAAAAAATTCTTGGTCTGGTGGGAAGATTCCTAAGTCAACACGAATGCATGCATGCTCTCTCTGGCTCTCTCTCTCACACACACAAGCACATACACACACACACACACACCCTCAATAAAGTAGGAATAGATAAATACTTTCTCAGTGTTTTTGTGTTTTCTATTTCACACAAAAAGCCAGTGTAAATATTATCAATACATTATACATATACAGTACACCCTCCATGTCCAGAGGTTCTGCAACTGCAGATAGATATGAAGGGTGACTGTAAGGGACTTGAGCATCTGCTGATTTTGATAACCACAGGAGTCCTGAAACCAGTCCCTTACAGGTACAGAGGGGTGACTCTATACAGCGTACATATATTAAACAGACATCAATATGGTGTTTAATAGACTACCACAAATCTGCATATTGTAAACAACAAATATATTTTGCTCACAGTTTTTCAGGCTTAGGAATTCAGGAAGGGATTTGTTGGGGCTAGTCTTACTTGAGGTCCCTCATGCAAATGCAGTTAGTGGCCAGCAGGGCTGCAGTCATCTGAAAGCTCCACTGGGCTAGACACCTGAGAAGGACAGTGGCATATTGATGCTGGATATCAGGTGGAGCTCATTTGGGCTGTTGACAGGAGGTCCTAATATTAGGTGCTTCTCTAGCATGGTATTCTCAACATAGTGGGACATCTGATTATGACACCTGGCTTTCCCAAAAGTAATCCAGCTGAAAGATAAATGACCTTTTCTGAACTAACTTCAGAAAGTATTGCAACTGAGCTACCAAACTCAGCCGAGGCTTAAGGGATATTTTTAATTGTTATGTGCTGTATGTAATGAAATGAAAGTCTCTCCTACCTATATTAAAAGAGTGAAGTACAAATAATAGATGTAGGAGAACACCCCTTATATTTAAGGAGGGAACATATGTATGCATATATCTCTAAATGCAAAAATTATCTCCTGAACTGTACAGGAGAAGTTAATAACAATTGATGTCTTTGGGAAGTGGATTGGATGACAGAGACAAGTCTAGAAACATGATGGTACTCTGATACCTTTTACATGGTTTGAATACTCTACCTTTTCCAAAAAACAATGAAAAGGTAAAATAAAAAATTTTGTAAAGTGCAAATAAGTACACAAACAAAAGTATATTAGCCTGTGTTAGATGCAAAATCATGTTTGATATGCTGTGCTTTGAAAGAGCATTTTTTAAGCAAGGCATATTAAAAGTCACAGGATAGTATACATGGAGTGAAATGCACATCTATTAAGTGTGACAGCGTGATGAATATTAGCCTATGTACACAACCATAAAACCACTACTTAGATTAAGATATAGATCATTTGTCTCACCTCTGAAGTTTATGCTGCTTCCCAGGCCATGGCTTCTCCCTTTTCCTGTGCTGCTGAGGCACTCACGGTTTTAATTTATTTCACTCTATAGACTTTATCTATATAGATAAACTATGATTTAGAAATTTGTACAAATGGACTCATACAGTACGACTTCTTATACTCAGCATAATATTCTTGAGATTAATCCACATTATTGCATATATCATTAGTTTGTTTCTTTCTATTGCTGAGTAGAATTATATTTGTATAAACATTCTCTGTTTTTAAGCCATTCTCTTGTTGGTGGTTAGAATAATTTTGAAGTTGTTAACGTTATGAGTAAAGTTGTTAAAAATATTGTTATTCAATTGTATGTGTACCTATGTTTTCAATTCTTTTGGGAAAGTACAAAAAAGTGGAATTGGTGTATTAGATGTGTACATGTTTATAACTCTATAAGCAAATTCCAAATCATTTTCAAAAGAGTTACATCATGCTACTAATTACAAATACTATAAAAAATTCTGATGATGAGTAATTTTTGAAGTCATTATAATTTGAGAAAATTATTTGACCTTTCTGACACCAAATTCTCATTATTTGTGTAATAGAATTAATAATACATAAAGAATGCATGCACTTGAAGAATGATACATAAAGAATTTCACTAAACATGTTTCTTTTCTCTGTTCTTTCTTTCCTTCCACTGAGTAAAAATAGTTCCCAAATTAGATATGTCTTACTTATGCATTTCTCTAGGTGAAAATGATTAAGTGACTTAAAAACAGATAAACATTTGAGTCATTAAGAGTCATGTGATGAGCTTGTTGAGTATATCTAGGTCGCTGGGAATCACAGATCAGTTATAAGGCACAGAGGCAGACAAAATAATATCAGGCAAATAGCATACTGTCCACAATTTCCCATACAAAGTTTCAGAATATAAAGATTTACGATTTCATTGAAATATTTGAATGACATTTGGACCTACATCTGAGTTTGTAATTAGAAAACTTTCAAAGCTGTTAAAAATAAGGATTGCAAATATTTAGGAATAGTAGAAAAAGCCTTGCTTTCTTACTTGACATAGAGGAGCTCTATTTTAATATTACTTCTAAAACTTTAGAAATTTTTTTTAAAGATCATGCTCATTTACATGCATTCATCAAAAATTAGGCTGCACCCAGTACACAAAATGAGTACAAAGAGACATGACATTATTGATTTTCAACTCCCTCTGTATTTAGGAGTATCATTTTTAATAACGGGTATAAAATTAATCAATCTACTGTATGAGCTATTGGAGGAAAAAACACTGTGAAATTTTTGACTTTTAAAACCAACCTTAAATAATTGACTTCGATAAGATTTAGGCTGCTATTAAAATTTAAAATGAAAATAAAGGAATTTTCTTTTTTTTTTTTTTTGCTTCCCAGCTGAACATGTACTTATAAAACAGAACCAAATCTAAGTCAGGAGAAAATTTTCTTAATTAGTATGTTGAATTTGGATTTGATGCTTTTATCCTTCAAATTTTATAATACTAATTCTGAAATAAAAAGTTTTTACTGTATGTTGTAATTTAGAAACAGATTTTTCATGTCTTTGTAATATTTCTATTTATTATTGAAAAAAGTTACAAGCTCAGTTTTTGAAATGAGGGATATTGAAAGACAAGGTTGTAGGGACAGGTCTCACTATATATCACATGCCTCCAGGAGTCTCCCTTGTTTAGCAACATCCCTAACAATTGCTAACATTTTCTCTAGTTACTTAGAAAGCAAAACTTGTGGTGGGGTTTAGGAGGAAAGTATAATTGTTGAAATATTGTTCAAGCAGTAGACACAAAAACTATGCTAACATATGCTCTGGCATATGATAATCAATTAATATGTATCTGTTGGAAGAAAGAAGGAAGGATGGAAATAAGGAAGGAAGGAAATGAAGGAAGGAAGGTGTTGTAGGAAGTCAGGGACCCTGAACGGAGGGACCTGCTGAAGGGGTGACAGAAGAACATAAATTGTGAAGATTTCATGGACATTATCACTTCCCCAATCAATACTCTTATAATTTCCTATGCTTGTCTTTACTTTAATCTCTTAATCTTGTCATCTTCATAAGCTGAGGATGTATGTCGCCTCAGGTCCCTGTGATGATTGCATTAACTGCACAAATTGTTCCTAGAGCATGTGTGTTTGAACAATATGAAATCTGGGCACCTTGAAAAAAGAACAGGATAACAGCAATGTTCAGGGAACAAGGGAGATAACCATTAGGTCTGACTGCCTGGGAGCCAGGCAGGACAGAGCCATATTTCTCTCATTGCCGAAAATGGGTAAGAGAAATATCACTGAATTCTTTCCCCAGTGAGGAATATTAATAATTAACAGTCATGGGAAAAGAATGCTTTCCCAGAGGGGCCTCTAAAATGGCCACTCTGGGGATGTCTGCCTTATGCAGTTGTAGATAAGGGATGTAACATGCCCTGGCCTCCTGCAGCACCCCCAGGCTTGCTAGGATTAGGAAATTCCAGCCTGGCGAATTCTAGTCAGACTGGTTCTCTGCTCTTGAATCCTGTTAAGATGTTTATCAATGACAATGCTTGCACAGCGGGACATGGAACTTCATTAGTAATTCTAGTTTCACCCTGACCTTGTGATCTTGCCCTGACCTTCTGCCTTGTGATCTTCTGTTGCCTTTGAAGCATGTGATCTCTGCGACCCACACCCTTTTCGTACACTCCCTCCTCTTTGAAAATTGCTAATAAAAACTTGCTGGTTTTATGGCTCAGGGGGCATCATGGAACTTGCTGACATATGATGTCTCCCCCAGACACCCAGCTTTAAAATGTCTCTCTTTTGTACTCTTTCCCTTTATTTCTGAGACTGGCCAACACTTACGGAAAATAGAAAAGAACCCACGTTGAAATATTGGGGGCTGTTTCCCCCGATAGAAGGAAGGAAGGAAATAAGGAAGGAAGGAAGAAGGAAGGAAGGAAATAAGGAAGGAAGGAAATAAGGAAGGAAGGAAGGGAAGAAGGAAGGAAGGAAGGAAGGAATCCAGAGAAGAAGGGAGGAAAAGAGGAAGGGAAGAAAAAAGGCTTGTTTTGCATTAAAAATAATTTTTCATTTCAACATGAAAAAATAAGTTTAAGTCAAGATTCAGAAACTTTTTCCCTCCTTATGACTTATTGTTACCTTAAGAATCTTCTGCATTCAAAATAAATTTCTTGTAAATCAAGTTCTTATAAAACACAGAACCAGAAATATTGGCACTATTTTTATAAGCTTAAAAAAGACTTCCAAGTGTGACACAAAGGTAGAGACCAAAAAGAAGAGCATCAACAAACTGTGTCCATAAATTGCTAGTCTTATGATTAAAAAAATCATAAAAACTTCAGAAATAATTAAAATTATACAAAAGAAATGAAGTAAATTTCAGAAAAAATAAAAATTAACATTAAACATAGAAATTATACTTAACTACAAATTAAAACAGCAATGAAATATCATTTGTCTTACAGTTTTCAAGTGTAGTATTTTAGGGATTATCTATCTTATGCTGTGGATAGAAATATAAATTAATACAATCTTCCTGGAATGCAACTTGGCAATATCTATCTCAATTTTAAATGGACTTATTTTTTGATTCAAGAAGGACATACATATGCCAAAAGTATATTTTCACTATAGGATTATAGGTAATGGCAAAAAATTGGAAATAACCAAAATGTCTACTTATAAGGCTTAATTAAACAAATATGCCAAAACACATAAAGGAATATTACGCTCATTGTATTGTGTTTTTTTACTTTTGAAATTTATATATGAACTAAAAACTGTATAATAAAAAAAATCTTCGGCATTAACCTAATTGGACTATTTTGGTCCTTTTCACAAAGGTAGTTGTGTACTGAAGATAATATACAAATAATATGTTTCAATTAATTATCATATTTTAACATGTGTTTCTTGAAATTTAATGACATGGATTGCATCGTCTCTCAAGAATATGTACTATTGCACAACTTCTAGATATAGACAGATTTCTCATCTGTCAAATTCTGCACGGTTCTGCTCAGCTGATTTATTTTCCTTTATAATAATATTGAAAACATGCGTATTTTTAGATGATAATCAATTTCTAATGCAAACATATCAAGTTTGTATGATGAAAAAAGTAAAATATTCACACATTGCATATGAATTTTCCCTTTATAATTTGAAGTATTCCATCCTATGAAACTATAATCACCACATCATCCAGTTGTGTTACTAAGTATATATTAAAAGCAGTTTGTTTACAATATATAGGCATTTAAAACTTAATGTGTATTTAATTAAAATAAATACTATGTAAAAATATTTGAATATTCAACTCTAAACTTTAATGCCTAACTCATAATTATAAAAATATGGCCTTATTATGTACTGAATGGCTCTCTTTTGAGACAATTTTTAAAAGTATGAACAAATACAATGCAGTTTCACAAATAAAGGTTCTAAAACTTTAATGTTTTAAAATTTATATGCTGCAAGTTTGTGTAAAATTGTATTTAGAAACTGTATATAGTTTCGATTAAAAGACATAATGAAGTTGGGAGACTGAAATAAGATTATCAATATATCAATATAGAGAAATTTAGATTCAGATTCAGATTTCCTTGTAATTTTTTTTAAGTCTCAATCACTGAGTTTGTTTGGGAAACAAACATGTTGAAACTTGAATAATTTGAATAGTTCAGGCAAAAGCTTTCTTCTAATTCAGTTATCCACATAAAAAATTGCTTTTGTACAACTGGCTTGAAAAAATAAAATTGTTAAAAAATTCTTACTTAAACATTGACAACACCCTTAGATAATGTACAGCTAATATCTACATAATGGTATAAAGCTAGTTAGGTTGGAAATGGAAAGCTGCATAGAATTAGCTTATTTTAATGATATAATTTAACCTTATAAAATATTTAGTTTTTTAATTCTCAAATACAGTGAGGAGTATGGCATAAAGATGATAGCAGCTAAATTCACTGATTGTTGTTCACCAAAACTGCTGTGTTGATATGTTTCCTTGCCTCCTTGTTTATTTCCCGTTGAGACCACTTTGAATAATAAAAAAGTGTGTATGTTATCCTACCTCATTTCTAACTAAGAAATAAGAAGAGAATCACAGAAAAACAAATTCTTTATTTTCCCTTTCTAAATTGTCTTCCCTATGGTACTTGGATAAGACATATATATATAGCTCTCTATACTTCTTAAAATGACCTTTAGAAATTTCATATGAATAATCATAGTTCCCCCGCTATATCTGATTTAGTTCCAGTAGAATATTATTATTCAAACCAGCACTGCTGAGCAGTAACTAGAAATTAAGAATACATTAAGTTTTTGAAACGGCGCATTGTTCAGAAATCTATCCTATTAGATGTAATACGCAGATAATAAATATATACATTAATTTAGGAAGACAGAAATTCTTCAATTGGCATATTTTATCTATTATATTGTAGTGGCAAACATTGCTTTAATCAGATAAAAGATTGCAAAGAATATGTTATCATATTTCATACTGAGATTATTATTCTTTCTCAGAGAATTGGATATGTTCAATTTCTAGCTACAGCACAATCACACCATTCTAGTCCGAAAGCCTTTTTAAATGGCTTACATGTGTAGTGATGTTTATCTTCTCCTGTGTCACATACAGTACTCTTTCCAAGTAAAATGTGCAAATGTAGACCAGTCAAAAAAATTTATTTAGCCAAAAAAATAGTAACAGCAACTTTATTTGGTAAGTAGGAATAAAATGATCATAATATATTGTTTCTAGCTAAATTTGACAGTATTTTATCTTTTGTATAAAACTAATTCAGTAATTCAATATATTACTTTAATATATACGTTAAATCTTATTTTTAATTTACTGGTTGAAAACAGCTTCTTGAATGCTTTGACTGAGAAGAGGGAGGTTAATATTGAACAGAATTCTTTCACTGGCCCCTTAACTGTTAAGAGTGGCTCCAGGAATGATGCATCAGTCTGTGGCAGACAGACCTCTCTTGTCATCTAAACACAACCACAGGCTTTTCTGGATGTCAAGGCCCAGCTTTAATAACTAGTGCTTATTTAATCGAGACAAATGAAGCTCTCTAAATGATTGGCAGCTTAAAGTCTGACAGATCTGTCGGCTGTTATCTTTCAAATAAGAGTGAAATCGAACAGCTTAACACTGTGCAGAGGGTGGCTACAGCAGAGCATTGAGGCCATAAATATACATCTTTAAATGGGTACAATGTATCTATTTTACCCAATCTCATAGGGGAAACAGATTTTACATGATTTAACCGGTTCTATTCTTTTGAAAAAATGTGATTAGCTAATGTGGTTTAATATCTGGAAAACTCCACGCATGTATTTTACCAATAAATTGAATGTAGCTTGTAACTTGCCTTTTTCCTCTTTTGGCTAATATGTTTGGTACAATTAAAGAAATAAATAAGGGAGAATAAAAGGCCCCCTCTAGTCCTGTTTTTACATTTCATTTATATTTTATCCTTACATTGTGAACAATTGATGTCATTTTTTCATGTCTTGTGTTTTTGACATGAGAATCCAGTGTTTTAAATTATATTAGTGTGGTAATTTGCTTTTAACAACACAGCAGCTTTTGGATGTTCTTCTTTAAAAACCGATTTCATTTAGGAGATGTGTTTTCATGTCACCAAAAATGAATGTTCAGACATGTGCATACTTTTAGCTACAACAACCATTTATTAAACCCCAAGCAGTGTGCTGTGCATTTTGTAAATACATATTTGTAAAATGATGTATATTTTTAATTTTTACAATGGCTCTTTGAGGTGTGTGTTATTTTCTCCTGTGCAAGTTAACTAATACACCAAAGGTCACAGAGCAAATAAGAGAATTGTATTTGACTTCAACATTCTTTTTCTTAATCATACATTTTTTTCCACCTTATGTAATAACTTAAAATGAGAAGAGATATTATATACTCTTCAGTCAATTTTTAGAAATAGCCAGATTACTTCAATTTTATGGCATACATTCACATGATATTATCATGGAAAAAATTATCAATAGCCTTCAAAAAAGTGAGTGTAATATGTATTAAATGAATTTCCAGGCACTGGAAATCAAATTGCTCATGTAGGACTGATATTAACTACTTGATGATACAACAGGGCTACTCAAAAAATCTGCTGAAAAATTTTACAATATTATTATTCATGTTCACGTATACATATGTGTGTTATGCTTGTTTAACCTGTTAGTCTTTAATAATCAAAGTAATTAAAATAAGTGAAAATGTCAGAAGTGAGGAGACACAATAAGTAAACTAGTAGATTCATGTGGTTATGGTAAAATTATGGGAAGACCATTATAGATTGATCTAGGTGATACCGGATGTAAAGCTAGTTTAACCAGATTGCATAGACGATGATCAAAGTTAGAAACCAATTGGTTGGCATAGTCATGGGGCTGCCAGTTATGGCTTATTATAGGGAGGGCTGGAACTGCACATGTCCAGAAGTTATTCCAGGTATTGACATGTGCAACAGGCTAGCACTGCACATGCAGGGCAGTAGCTAAGATCAGAGGACTAGGTTCCTGGTATGTGAAGTAGTAGTCAGGCACAAAGCCAGTGAACTTTAATTGTCCCAGAAAAAAATCCATTTTGAAATTCTCTATTTTACGAGGAAATGAGATGTCTAGAATCTCTATTTCTCTTTCATTAAAATTTGTTGATTAGATTTTAGCTAACTTAGTTATACTTTCACTAAATAAATTTCTTTTATCTATCTTGAAAAAGTTAACTCCATGCTTCAAAAGTTAGCTCCAAGTGTCTTACTCTTATTGCTCTTTGAAGTTCACATTCTTTGGAGACTCAAACTATTTCATTTTCTATTAGGAAGTGAAGCCCTTCTTGCCTGGGCTGGCAAGAAGACAACAGCCCAGGAGAAACTAAAGTTGCATTTCCCTGTTAAACTCTATTCCCAAGTACCAGCATCTTTTCTGATTTGGGCCTGGTTGCACATCCAAAGTTGAGAAAAGTATTTTTGAACACTTCACTTCATGGAGTATGCTGGATGAATAAGGAATCCAATATCTTCTGTAAACATGCTTGTGTCATAGACTACACAGGTTCCATTTCCATAAAGTCCTCATGTAAGGGAAATTTCTCTCCTGATTTTGGAAGGAAACATATTTTTTCTAATATTCCTTTCTCTCAGCACCTTCTGTTGATTGATCTTTCATAGTTCTACCCAGAATATTAAGTTCCTATTAACTTGTGTTTGTTTTCCAGGGAAATGAATGCCTCATTTAATGATCTTTAATTAAATTTATACAGATTAGGTATTGAATTTTTATATCATCAATAATTCCAAACCCAAATAATTATTTCTAAACTGTCACCCTTTAAGTGTCTTCTATTACTTGGTCTCCTCTTCTGACACCAACCCTAGTTGTACCAGACTCTGTGATCTCTCTGGGTCCTCTCTTCTTACTGAGCCCTGTGTTTGCTCGGGGCTTAGATTATTTCTGAGGCATACAGCACAAGAAGGTAAACAGTTTCATTTGACTAAATTGGCAAATAACACTATCAAAAGGCCAATGTCAAATGACTAGGACATGAATTGGCTAATATTTACATGTACGATTTACTGACTTTTGATATTATGAATTTGGTGGGAATTCTTTTTTTTTTTTTTTTTTTTAAGATGGAGTTTTGCTCTTGTTGCCCAGGCTGGAGTGCGATGGTGCGATCTTGGCTCACTGCAACCTCTGCCTCTCAGGTTCAAGTGATTCTCCTGCCTCAGCCTCCTGAGTAGCTGGGATTACCCACCACTACATCTGGCTAATTTTGTATTTTTAGTACAGACGGGTTTCTCTGTGTTGGTCAGGCTGGTCTCGAACTCCTGACCTCAGGCGATTCACCTGTCTCGGCCTCCCAAAGTGCTGGGACTACAGGCGTGAGCCACTGGGCCCGGCCAGTCTGAAGAAAAAAAGATTTTAGTCAGAATTTAGCAAAAATATGATGTTTTCCCCAATTTATAAGGAGGATGTACACTTTCTCATATGAAATAATACAAATATTTACCTCATATAATTTCATCATCAATTTAACAAGCAATAAGTTTCTAAAAGGTGTTGAAAAAGTGAGTTTTTAGGTGAATGAAAAATAAAATTGTTGAAAATGATAAATAACAGTAAATAATGTTGTTTGTCATCATTGTAAGAGTAAATGATTATTTTTAAATATTTTAATATAAATCTAAAATGCAGTTCAGGTGATTAACTTCATCTATATTACTAGTAATTTAACTAGATTTGGGGGCTGGATATTCTGTGAAGGCAAGCATAATAGTCTTTCTGGTGCAGTATCAAGCTAACTATGTACTAGGCCCTCAATAAATATATTTTAGATAAATATCTAGAGGATATATTTTTAACTGCTCTTTTAAATGCATTTTCCTCAAATATTAAATATTTCACATGAAATTCTAAAAGTGACTGGACATTAAACCCTTAAAAATTAACATATTTGAGAGATGATATTATCCATTAATACTATGAATCCATACAATTAGATAAAGAACATTAGTAAAAGTATACCACCACATATTTTAAATCAACTTTTAATAAATGTTTTAAATTAATTTTTTAACTTTGAGATTTACAGAAAAATTGCAAAGAGAGTACAATCAGTACATTTTCCCATTATTAAAATCTTATATTAGTATGATACATTTATCACAATTAATAAACCAATATTGATACATTTATATTCACTGAAGTCCATGCTTCATTTAGATTTCCTTAGTTTTTCCTAATGTCCTTTTCTCTTCAAGCATCCCATCCAAGATACAACATGGCATTCAATCATCAGGCCTCTCTAGGCTTTCCTTATGCTCGTTTTTAATAACTTTGAAAGTTGTGAGAAATACTGTTTGTGCATTTTGTAGAATGTCCCACAATTGGGATTTTTCTAATTTTTTTTATGATTACACAGATGTTATGAATTTTGAGGAGGGCAAGTCATAGAGGAAAAGAGCCATTTTAATTAACTCATATCAAGCGTAGACACTATCAACATAAATTATCACTGCTTATATTGACCTTGATCACCTCACTATAATATTGTTTGTAAGATTTCACCACTGTAAAGTTATTCTTTTTTTTCTCCCTTTCCATAATGTACTCTTTTGAAGAAAGTTACTACAGTTGGTTTTCAGTATTCATGGGTTCTGTATTTACAGATTCAACCAACTGTAGATCACACATATATTTTTTAAAAACAATGCACAATAAAAATAACAATACAAGAATTAAAAAGAATACAATTAAAAATACAGTATAAATATTCACATAGCATTTATGTATTTAGATTGCATTTGTATTGTAAATCATCTAGAGGCGATTTAAAGTATATGAGAAAAAGTGGATGTGTGTAGGCTATATGCAAATACTGTGACATTTTATACAAGAAACTTGACTACCCACTGATTTTGGTGTGGGGCAGTTGTCTTCAAGTCAATCTCCCAGGATACTGAGGGATGACTATATGTGCAACCCACACTGAAGGAGTTGGGAGTTATGCCTCCTCTTTGTTAGAGCAGAGTATGTACATGTTTATTTAGGTCTCTGTTTCAAGAGTGATTTGTCTCTTCCACCCATTTATTTATTTAATCATTTATCTGTATCATTCTAGACTCATGGATATTTATTTGACACATTGAGTTATAATCCAATTCTACTTTCTTGTTGTAGTCGATCCAATTGTTCCTGCTTTGGTTATTGGGAGTTCTTTCTTTTAACTTGCATATACTTTTTGGCATATCTCCACCATTTTGTGTAGGTGGGTTTTTGTTTTAGCAGTTGTTTGTTCATTTGGTACTGCCTTACTTTCTGGAACAACTAGGTACTCCAAAACCATCTTTTGTATTTCCTGACCCAATCTTAAATCTAGCCGTTTCTCCAAGGAGCCCTAATTCTTTTCATTAAAAAATAGAATTTGAAACCAAGGTCCAGCTGCTACTTTGCATTACTTACTTATTAGTTACAGGAGGTTTCTTGCCAATACTTGGAGTTTTTTATATGGACAACTACATTATTTGTGAACAAGACACGTTTTCTTTCTTTTCAGTGTGTGCACTTTTTATCTCCTTTGGTGTGTTTGTGGTAAAGCCTTGCTAGGCCTTCCAATAAAATATTGAATAGAAGTAGTGAGAAAGATGACATCCTCCCAGTTTGCATGGAAAAGTATCTGGTTTCTCACTGTTCTCAAGTTATTCTACACTCATACTCCAAAAATTTGTCAAAACTACCATGTAAAGTTTTATTTTTAATATTTTTTTAACCAGTTTATGAACCCAGTGGCATTTGCTCTAAGAAAATCTTGGTTCTCACTCTTTTCATTTGCCTATCTCTCCAGATTTTGGGGTAGCAGATTGTACAGAAGCCTCAGTTCCATAACTCTGTAAATGTGCTCCAAATGTGTTGCAGCTTCTGGGGAGTGAGTGAGACGTTGTTGTGCATTAGTGGGAAATGTTTTCATTTTTATTATAAACCCCTTTGTATTATCAAATATACAATCATGTATTTCTGAACTTTAACTTGGGAAAGGCCTAAATTCAATTGTTGAGTTGTAGTACATTCTACTAAGTTTATGTTTCTTTGACATCCATTTTAAATGTAAGTTTGACTTTCTCATATCAGAAACAAGGATTATGCACCCTTGGAACACTTCCAGATCTCCACCTCCTACCAATTTCACAATAATTTGATTCAAATATTTGCCTCATGCAACTGTTTCCTGGCAACCACTTCCCTATGGGACAGCAGATACAACCTAGTTGACTTGCCCCCTATTCCCACCCCCACCATATGGCCTGTGCAGGTATGCCACAGTGACACCCTCTCACAGCATACCTGCATGGAGCACCGACCTGCTTACTTTGAACCCGCCAATAAGAAGTTAATATAGAAAACCTGCTTGGGTAACACCGTGGACCCCAATAAAGGCTTTTACACTCAGGTCACTTGCCCTTGCTCTCTCTTGCTCCCCACTGTGGTTGAATTTGTGTGTTCCAGATGGCTCCCCACTTTCATTGGCTCTGTGAGGCATGCCACCCTCTTCTCTCTGTAAGTAATAAAGCTGTTTCCATTATTTCATGTGTTTTGTTGTCCTGCCTCCTCTGTGTCTCACTAGACCACATAAGACCACTCTGGAATCTAAGTATCCTCCCAGTCAGGGCTTTCTTAGAGTGTGGCTATCTTGGTAGGAATAACTGCACACTGTCAGACAAGAACTACTGGAGTGTGTGCAAGTATAAACAAGCTTCCTGTGAGAGGAACACCTGGCCACAGGTCAGGCAATTAGGCATTAGGCCATCTGCCAGCATAAAGAAGTATCCTCTGAGGCACACACTATAAAGATTCATGACCACCTCCACTGAAGCCCTGTAGAGGCAGGGCTAGAGTTCACAGTCACCCTCCAGAGTGACCTCAAGATCAAATTGGAAAGAAATCTCAACACTAGGTAAAAGGGACTTGGGAAAACATACATATTTCCTGGCAGCAAAAACCAAAAATAGTTTTATTAAATAATCAAAAAGTTGCTTCAAGATGAAATATTTCATGTTATTTTCCTTCTATGAAAAATTTACACCAAGGCATGTTTTAGCCTTTTACCTTTTATATGTCTATTATTTATTATCAATAAATAAATTCAAATATATTTGTAAAAATCAATTTTATTCTTCAGTTAGTTAAACAGAGTCTATCCATTGTGGTGGAGGCATAGATTTTATCACAGGTGTTTAAAAGCATTCTGGAAGTGAAATCATGCTACATGAAAGATTAGTGATTAGACCTAAGAAGTATATTTTTTATGAACACCCATTACAAAGATTTATGCAGAAATGGAGGTGGTGATCCTCAATGTCTGCCACAACTCTTCTTAATAAGAATTTCCAGGAACTGTCTGTTCCCAACTATTCTAAATAGAACAATTGTAGCAAGTATACATTTTACCCTTTCATATTTTCAGGCATTTTGGGTTTATCTCTTCTCTACATTTGGAATTTCCAATATGGCAACCCATTCTCTTTGCTCCTTGGAACTTAAAGTAATGATCATTAAAAAGAATAGCTTGGCTTCCTTGTTTGAAAACAGTGTTTTAAATGAAGAAGTATTAAATTGAGACTAGTTTGGTCTTTCCACTCAAGACCTCCTCTTTGTAAATAAAAGGTCCTCTTCTTTGTAATACAAAATGTAGCCTGAAGTTTATATTTATTGTCATTCATTTTTTTCCCTATGAGCTTTCTTTTCAGCAAGTTTGAAAAGAGAATTGTGTCCTTTACTTCCAAACAGCATAAGCTCCCTGTAATGTTGACATCTGCATTCAGTTTCTTGCCAAGCATTCTAAGGTAACATTTGTAAAAATTCTTTCTGGAGATACGGTGAACTAGTTCAATAGTACAGGATGGCTGGAGATCTCTGCCTCTCATTATATATCTCTGAATATAATATCACTTAGTTTAGTTATTTTCATGATAGATTTTGTGGTGAATTGTCACCCTTAATATTCATTTTTGTTGTTGAATGTCTCTAAATGAATTAGATAGTAAGAACCAGACAGTCTGACTCCAGAAAAGTAGAAAGCTTTTATAAAAGGATTTCTATTTACTGCAAGGATTTCTATTCAGTGCATGATGGCCAGATAGGAAAATATACTTAAAAAGAATAATAGCATATAAGGTTAATAATATATTGCACTAGATATACGTATTTCATACAAATAGTTTTTATTTGTTAATATTAATTTGTATAATACAAAAAAACGCACATCTAATGCCTGATTTATAGATTAGCTAAAAAGAAGAATATGAAAAAAGTATTTCGTGAGGGCTATTTTGTCATAAAATGTAGATGTTTCCAAATTCCCAGCTTTTAAAGATCAACCATGTGGATTAAGTATTGCTACTTAAGTAAACAAATTAAAGGGCTCTCAGAAAGAAAATATAACAAGTAAAATAAATGGCAAAGAAAATAAATTTTTCAAAATGTCTGCTTTTAAAGTAAATAGCTCTTTGCTAATACTCTCCTAAAAATTAATTGACTTCCAGGTAAGTCTAGCCATTCATTTTATAAGTACAAATGATTTGAGTAAAACAAAGTCTATCATAAAGGACTAATGCATCATCTAATTCCAATGAATTTTAGGTATTTAATATTCTTTAAAAATTAAAGTGCTTCCTGGAATAATGAAAATAATGAAATCACCAAATGCTTGAATATTTTATTACATATCTCTAGCCAAGTCATGTTATTTAAGCTACACAAAGTTTCTTTTTCATCAGGACATTAATCTAAACACCCTTGCCATTTATTGGCAACACAGAACATCAATGGACGCTCAAACCCTTTCCAATAGACTATCTTTACTTTCTCCTTTAAAACTTTATACTAAATATATTTCTCTCTCCTAAAATACAATTTTACTGAAAGAACAATAAGAACAAAAAGGAGTAAGGAACCCATACATAAAAGTAATGGAAGTAGGAATGTATATTTTCAACACCCTATCTTTAAGATGGCAACCTTTCATAAAAGGCTGAGTTTTTTTAGTTTTTAGGAGAATTCATCCTATGAAGCCAGCAAACTTTCATGCCACAGGGGAGAATGAGTGTAGCAGTGAGGGCTTCTCTTCTCAAAGGATCCCCAGAAAATATGATTGTGGATGAAAAGAACTAGGAAAAGAAGGCAGGAGCCAAACTTAGAATAATTACTTGAACAAATTTGGAAAATTTGGACCTAGGGTTCATTTTAAGCCTTCATCCTGTATCTCTGTATTCTCAGGTGTAAACCCCACATAGACTCTGTAAATAATGTGGGATTGTGCCTTTGCACCTTCTTACTCTGTATGTTATCACGAGAGAGAAATAGACAAATGCTGCTTTGAACCTTATCAATAAAAATGGGAAAACTCTATGTAATGAAAGAACACAGCAAAACGGTGATCATCTACAAGCCAAGGAGAGAGGCCTAAGGAGAAACTAAACCTGCCAACACCTTGCTCTTGGCCTTCTAGACCCCATAATCATGAGAAATTGTTTAAGCCCAAAAGTGAAAATAAAGAAAATCTATGGATGAGAGAAAGTTTAAAAATAAAAATTTATAGAGTACACACCCCCAGATTAAATCTTTCTCACTTTTTTATCCATGTGGGTCCAGACTTCCTAGCTACTTTGTTTGCAAACACTCTAACCAGAATCTCTGCTTAAATATCCCTTGCCTACTTACTCATCCAGTCGGAGCTAGCTCAGGCACAGCGTGAAAAGGTAGATGTGGAAACACATTCAGAACTAGATAAAAATATTATGCCTGCAACTTGTATTAATAATGCCACTGTTTTATTTAGCTCTATATGACTAGTTTAAAATAATTCATCATTTTTTAAAAAGGTAAAGAGAAAGAATATGAATTGAATATTCGACGAAGGGGAAGCAGGGATACCAGAAAGAAAAATATAATGGAGGATGGAGGCCAAATATATTAAGAGATTTAAATAGAATAACTTAGTATATTAAAAGACACAGACTTCTGTATTATTATTTTTTAAGGTTACAGTAGGCTTTGGAAATACATTTGTAAATATGATATAGGCTTTGAACGTAAATTTAACAAGAATGCTGAACAAATAATAACAATAGAAAAAACTTGGCACACAATCTGGGGCTAAATCAAATTAGATGTCAAATATTGAATAGGAAAGATAAATTATATATTTCTTGTGTTGTCACAATAGCAAGATTATATATTATTTATGCTACAAACAATATCACATTACTACTTATTTTAAAAAAGAAAGAAAGTAGTAGACTAAACCAGTATTATTGGTGGAAATTTCTGAATCAGGAAGGTATTCTGCGAGAAAAAACACAAACATAGTAAGAGCTTACATGCTAAAAGCTGCAATAATACTAAGCTGGAAAAATATAATAATACTTCCTGCAATAGTCTAAGCATCTAAACTATCTCATCTTTGTCTGGAAGGCTGTGACAGGCCTCCCACACAGAACCATGACATGGTATTCAAGGATGTGCCAGGCACAATTGGAATACAGACAGGTTAAATAGTGAAAAGCCATGTCAAAAATTACTCTAAATTAATCTAGGAAGCAATGCCAGCTTTGGACCGAGCCCAAAGAAGTGCCGACCCTACTTGGACAATCATTTGTAAGGATGAAATCTCTTTACAACCTCCAGTCGCTATTGCCCAGTCTCTATTCAGATTTGTTCTTAAGCCCCAGGGTTCTTAGTTAAAAGTTAGTCAAATATATATACGCCCAATTCAGGAGCAACCAGATTCATAAAGCAAGTTCTTAGAGACCTACAAAGAGACTTAGACTCTCACACCGTAATAGTGGGAGACTTTAACACTCCACTGTCAATATTAGATCAATGAGACAGAAGGTTAACACGGATATTCAGGACTTGAACTCAGCTCTGGACCAAGCGGACCTAATAGACATCTACAGGACTCTTCACCCCAAATCAACAGAATATACATTCTTCTCAGCACCACATCATAATTATTCTAAAATTGACCACATAACTGGAGGTACAACACTCCTCAGCAAATGCAAAATAATGAAAATCATAACAAATAGACTCTGAGACCACAGTGCAATCAAATTTAAACTTAGGATTAAGAAACTTGCTCAAAACCACACAACTACATGGAAATGGAAAAACCTGCTCCTGAATGACTACTGGGTAAATAAGGAAATTAAGGCAGAAATAAATAAGTTCTTTGAAACCAATGAGAACAAAGGCATAATGTACCAGAATCTCTGGGACACAGCTAAAGCAGTGTTTAGAGGAATTTTTTTTTTTTTTTTTTTTTTTTAGATGGAGTCTCGCTCTTTCGCCCAGGCTGGAGTGCAGTGGCACAATCTCGGCTCACTGCAAGCTCCGCCTCCCGGGTTCACGCCACTCCTCCCCCCTCAGCCTCCCAAGTAGCTGGGACTACAGACACCCGCTACCCCGCCCAGCTAATTTTTTGATTTTTAGTAGAGATGGGGTTTCACCGTGTTAGCCAGGATGGTCTCGATCTCCTGACCTCGTTATCCGCTCACCTCGGCCTCCCAAAGTGCTGGGATTATAGGCGTGAGCCACCGCGCCCAGCCTTAGAGGGAAATATATAGCACTAAATGGCCACAGGAGAAAGGGGGAAAGATATAAAATCGACACCCTAACATCACAATTAAAAGAACTAGAGAAGCATGAGCAAACAAATTCAAAAGCTAGCAGAAGACAAGAAATAACTAAGATCAGAGCAGAACTGAAGGAGATAGAGACACAAAAAACCCTTCAAAAAAATCATTAAATCCAGGAGCTGGTTTTTGAAAAGATTGACAAAATAGATAGAACACTAGCAAGACTAATAGAAGAAAAGAGAGAAGAATCAAATAGGCGCAATAAAAAATAATAAAGGGGATATCACCACTGTTCTGACAGAAATACAAACTACCATCAGAGAATACTATAAACACCTCTATGCAAATAAACTAGAAAATCTATAAGAAATGGATTAAATTACTGGACACATACACCCTCCCAAGATTAAACCAGGAAGAAGTTGAATCCCTGAACAGACCAATAACAAGTTCTGAAATTGAGGCAGTAATTAATAGCTTACCAACCAAAAAAAGTCCAGGACCAGACGGATTCACAGCCGAATTTTACCAGCGGTACAAAGAGGAGCTGGTACCATCTTTCTGAAACTATTTCAAACAATAGAAAAAGAGTGACTCCTCCCTAACTCATTTTATGAGGCCAGCACCATCATGATACCAAAAGCTGGCAGAGAAACAACAAAAAAAGAAAACTTCAGGCCAATATCCCTGATGAACATCGATGTGAAAATCCTCAATGAAATACTGGGAAACCAAATTGAGAAGCACATCAAAAGCTTACCCACCACGATCAAGTTGGCTCCATCCCTGGGATGCAAAGCTGGTTCAATACATGCAAATCAGTAAACGTAATCCATCACATAAACAGAACCAATGACAAAAATCACAAGAGTATCTCAATAGATGCAGAAAAGGCCTTTGATAAAATTCAACACCCCTTCTTGCTGAAAACTCTCAATAAACTAGTTATCAGTGGAACGTATCTCAAAATAATAAGAGCTGTTTATGACAAACCCACAGTCAATATCATATTGAATGGGCAAAAACTGGAAGCATTCCCTTTGAAAACAGGCAAAAGACAGGGATGCCCTCTCTCACCACTCCCATTCAACATAGTATTGGAAGTTCTGGCTAAGGCAATCAGGCAAGAGAAGGAAAAAGCGTATTCAAATAGGAAGAGAGAAAGTCAAATTGTCTCTGTTTACAGATGACATGATTGTATATTTAGAAAACCCCATTGTCTCAGCCCAGAATCTCCTTCAACTGATAAGCAACTTCAGCAAAGTCTCAGGATACAAAATCAATGTGCAAAAGTCACAAGCATTCTTATACACCAATAATAGACAAACAGAGAGTCAAATCATGAGTGAACTCCCATTCACAATTGCTACAAAGAGAAGAAAATAACTAGGAATACAACTTAAAAGGTATGTGAAGGACCTCTTCAAGGAGAACCACAAACCACTGCTTGAGGAAATGAGAGGACACAAATAAATGGAAAAACATTCCATGCTATGGATAGGAAGAATCAATATCGTGAAAATGGCCACACTACTTAAAGTAATGTATAGATTCAATGCTATCCCCATCAAGCTACCACTGACTTTCTTCACAGAATTGGAAAAAAAAAGTACTTTAAATTTCATATGGAACCTAAAATGAGCCTGTATAGCCAAGACAGGCTAAGCAAAAAGAACAAAGCTGGAAGCATCATGCTACCTGACTTCGAACTATACTACAAGGCTACAGTAACCAAAACAGCATGGTACTGGTACAAAAACAGATATATAGACCAATGGAACAGAATAGAGGACTCAGAAATAATGCCACACATCTACAAGTACCTGGTTTTTGACAAACCTGACAAAAACAAACAATGGGAAAAGGATTCCCTATTCAATAAATTGTGTTGGAAAAACTGGCTAGCCATATGCAGAAAACTGAAACTGGTCCCCTTCCTTACACTTTATACAAAAATTAACTCAAGATGGGTTAAAGACTTAAACATAAGATCTAATGAAACCCCAAAGAAAACCTAGGTAATACCATTCAGGACATAGGCATAGCAAAGACTTCATGACTAAAACACCAAAAGCAATGACAACAACAGCCAAAATCGACAAATGGAATCTAATTAAAGCAAAGAGCTCCTGCACAGTTTAAGAAACAGGAAAAAAAAAAAAAAAACTCATTGTCACTGGTCATTAGAGAAATGCAAATCAAAACCACAATAAAATACCATCTCATGCCAGTTAGAATGGCAATTATTTAAAAAGTCAGGAAACAACAGATGCTGAAGAGGATGTGGAGAAACAGGAAAGCTTTTACTCTGTTGGTGGGAGTGTAAATTAGTACAACCATTGTACAGGACAGTGTGGCAATTCCTCAAGGATTTAGAACCAGAAATACCATTTGACCCAGCAATCCCATTACTGGGTACATACCCAAAGGATTATAAATCATTCTACTATAAAAACACATGCACACATATATTTATTGCAGCACTATTCACAATAGCAAAGACTTGGAACCAACCCAAATGCCCATCAATGATAGACTGGATAAAGAAAATGTGGCACATATACACCATGGAATACTATGCAGCCATAAAAGTGGAAGAGTTCATGTCCTTTGCAAAGACATGGATGAAGCTGGAAACCATCATTCTCAGCAAACTAACACAGGAACAGAAAAGCAAACAGCACATGTCCTCACTCATAATTGGAAGTTGAACAATGAGAATACATGGGCACAGGAAGGGTAACAACACACACTGAGACCTGTCAGGGGCTGGGGGACTAGGGGAGGGATAGCAGTAGGAGAAATACCTAATGTAGATGATGGGTTGATGGGTGCAGCAAACCACCATGGCACGTGTATACCTATGTAACAAACCTACACGTTCTACACATGTATCCCAGAACTTAAAGTATAATAAGAAAAAAAGTTAGTCAAAAGTACCCCAAAGAAAAATTCTGAAATGCAAGTTGTTGAAAAATTTACAATAATGTGCCTTTTTTTTTTTTTTTTTGAGACAGTGCCTTGCTGTGTTGCCCAGGCTGGTGTGCAGTGGCATGATCATAACTCACAGTAACTTCAAATTCCCAGGCTCAAGTAATTCTCCCACCTCAGCCTCTTGAGTAGCTGGGACTATAAGCATATTCAACTAATTTTTCTATTTTTAGTAGAGACAAATTCTCATTAGCCCAGCTGGTCTCAAACTCCTGGGCTCAAGTGATCAGCCTTCCTCAGACTCCCAAAGTGCTAGGATTATAGGCGCGATCTACCACAGCTGGCCTAATGTGGCTCTCTGTGAACCCAGAGTTCATAGAAAGTCTAAGCTACAGTTACAGAGATAATCCAAGTTTCAATGTTTCTGTTATATCATTAATAAGCATATCTGCTCATACATTACCCCTGCTGTTCACTCAAGTACCCACAACTTGATATTCAAATATCTCCTTTAGGAATATATACTGCCAAACAATTGGAGAAATGTAAGGTTTTTTTGTAAAACAAACAATCTTGCAGAAAGAAACATGAAAATCTTGTATATATCCTCTCTCAAGATTATTTCATCTGTATGGCAACATAGTAGTTGTATTTGTTATAATTCCTAAGTATATTTTGCCATAATTTTAGCACACACAAACTACTTTTACTTGCTGAGTACATGAGAATTACTGTGCTGGGTGTTGTTTATACATAATTTTATTTGGTTATCATAAAAACTTTTGAGGTAGACATTTTGGGAGAAAAAAAATATATGAGTTGAAGATTCAGGTTTGAAAGGTTAAGCAAGTTGCCAAATTCTTACATCTATAATGTGCCAGAGCCTGAATTTGAACATATTTCAGTCTGATGTCAAATATATGCTCCTAACCACCTCATTATAATGCTTTCCAAATTCTTATGTTGTTGACTCTCTAGGAAAGGAGATTTAAATTAAGCAAACTATTCTGCACCTTGCAGCCTTCAATTTAAGGGAATATGTCAATACATGCTTACATTGCTCAGTGGGAGTATGGATGACAAAAGTTGAAGCAGATGGTGTAACTGTGCGATTAACTTTCTTCTGCTTTAACCTTCCTACTTTTTCCTTTTGCACTAACCACATAATTTATTTGCCAAGTAAAAAAGCAACAGCTTTCAGAAGAAAAAATCAGCTCTTTAAAGGATCATCTGAGGAAAGAACATGAGAAAAAAAAAAAAAGACTGGTGCATGTGGAGACTTTGCCTTCTTTTTTACTTATACTGTTTGTTTGTCTAATTTTCCCAATTAAAAAAAAATAAAGAAATCTACATTTTCAACATAGCATTTTACTTATATGCTTTAGGAAATAGACTCTCAGCATTTTAAGTATCTATATATGTGCAAAACTAAAATCCAGGATAATATTTTACAGAGTTCCTCATTGCAGCAATTTTTGATGTGAAGACACTAAGGAGCAAGCGTTCTTTATATGAACAGGCAGTGGGCTCTGTGTTTAGACATTTTTCTCTTTATCGTGAGGCATTTAGCATGCTTATTTCACTGAAAAGAAGCTATACTCAATTATTTCTAAATTAAGATTGAATCTTATTATTTGTAAACTTATCTATAATGAAATTCCTTTTGTAGTAAAATGGAATGGAATTCCATAAATGTTTGGAGAATGGCAAGAAACAAATTAAAATTCCCTTTGAATGGAAAATTGAACTTGCCCTTTCATGAAAATGTCTGTTGAAAATTAACCCGTTAATAGAATAATACTTTAGGTTCATGACAAGTTTTCATCATTTTAGACTGAATAGAATTAGGCTAACTTAGAATGTTATGGTAATGTAGATTAATTTGAATTAAAACTGCTAAAACAAAACTTGCCAGAAAACATTTTCATTTTTAGAAAAGGACTGAAAGCAATATTTACCATTAATCATATGATTTTGTCTTATATTAGATTTCATAGTAATACCAGTAAAGCTAAGCCTCTATGGTTGTAACAATTAAGAATGTTAGTCCCTCATTTCTGGTATTCAGGGAATATAATGCATCTCAAATACACCTCTACTGTGTGACCTAGTAATTCTTACTATTTCCAAAAACAATATGAGATAAAACATTTCCCTTTCTGAATGAAAATACCTAATGTGCACCTGTGAAATCTTTCATTAATGCCCTTGTTTTTCCCAGGCACATTTTGCAAAATATGTACTCCTCCTCTAAACAGAATGATGTGGAAAAGTTAAAGGAAAATTAAGCTCGACCGTGCTCAGTAACATGATGAAAGAGATTTTTAAAATATTTAATGTACCCCTTTTGTATTCGTCAGAATGTCAAATTTAAAATTAGAATATATATTCTATGACAAACAGCAGCAAATTAAGAGAACATAAGTGCGTAGTTTTAAGTATATAATAAAAAAGAAAAGGCTAATTTTGTTTTTCTGAGTTGACTTTATCACACTGCAGTCATGCACCACATAAGGATGTTTTTGTCAATGTCTAATGCCATATACAACAGTGGTCCCATAAGATTATAAAGGAACTGAAAAATTCCTATCACCTAGTGATGCCGTGATAGCATTGCAGCACAACGCATAACTCAAGTGTTTGTGGCGATGTTAGTATAAACAAAATCACTGTGCTGACAGTCAAAAAAAGTATAGCACATATAATTATGGACAGTACATAATACTAGATAATGATAATAAATGAGTATATTACAAGGTTATGTATTTATTACACTTTTTAATCATTCTTTCAGAGTGTACTTCTACATGTTAAAAATAAGTTAATTGGAAAATAGCCTTAGGCAAGTCCTTTAGAAGGTGGAAAAGAGCACTTCTATCATAGGAAATGACAGCTCCATGCATTATTACCCCTGAAAACCTGCCAGTATGATAAGATGTGGAGGTGGAAGATAGTGATATTGATAATTCGGATCTTGTGTAGGTCTAGGCTAATGTGTGTGGTTGTGTCTTAGTTTTTAACAAAAAGTTTAAAGAGTAAAATATAAGCTAGAAAGTTTTAAAAATAGAAAAAAAGCTGATAGAATAAGCATGTAAGAAGAAAACATTTTTGTATAGTGTTATAATGTTTTTGTGTTTTGAGCTAAGTGTTTGTAAAAATGAGTCCAAAAGTTTAAAAAAGTAAAAAGTTTATAAAGTAAAATTGTTACAGTAAGCTGAAGTTAACTTATTATTGAGCAAAATATATTCTTATAAATTTAATGTAGCCTAAGTGTAGAGTGTTTGTAAAGTCTACAGTGGTGTGCAGTAATGTCCTAGGCCTTCGTGTTCACTCACCACCCACTCACTCACCCACCTAATGCAACTTCCAGTCCTGCAAGCTCCATTCCTAATAAGTGCTATATACAGGTATACCATTTGTCCATTTTATATCATATTTTTACTGTACATTTTCTATATTTAGATAATCAAATACTTATCATTGTGTTACAATTCCCCACAGCATTCAGTGCAGTAGCATGTTGTGCATGTTTGTAGCACACGAGCAATAAGCTACACCATATAGCCTAGGTCTGTAGTAGGCTATACCACCTAGGTTTGTGTGAGTACACTCTATGATTGCACAATAATGAAATCATCTAATGATGCATTTCTCAAAATGTATCCCCTCCATTAACTGACACATAACTGTATTTTAAAAATTATATAGCAAGCTACTATGTACTATTGTAGGAAAATAGTAATAAACTACTCTATCACTAAATTAATGTTGAAAAATTAAACATCTATAAGGGAAGTAAGCAGAACTACAACTAAAACCTCCTCAAGAATTAGCACCTAATAAATATTTGTGGGACTAATTGACATTATTTTCAGCATTTCAGGGATTTTGTGTCATAACGTGTCATTCTGTAATCGGTTATACGTTATACAAATTATATACATATACATATACCAAGTATAATTTTAAATGTGTAAATAAGTTTATACATTTTAATGCCTAGATTATTAAAATTTGATTTGATGTATTACACTATAGTTATATTTATAACTACTAAAAGTAGAAGCTACACTACAAGGCTACCGTAACCAAAACAGACACATAGAATGGAAGAGAATAGAGAGCCCAGAAATAATACGGTACACCTAAAACCACCTGATCTTTGACAAAGTCAACAGAAACAAGCAAAGGGGAAACGAACCCCTTTTTAATAAATACTGTTGGGATAACTTGCTAGCTATATGCAGAAGATTGAAACAACCCTTTCCTTATATCACATACAAAAATCAACTCAAGATGGACTAAATATTTAACATAAAACCCAAAACTGTAAAAAACCCTGGAAGATAACCTAGGAAATACCATTCTGGACATGGCCCTGACAAAAATTTCGTGATAGAGATGCCAAAAGCAATTGCAACGAAAACAAAAATTGACAAATAGGACCTAATCAAACTAAAGAGTTTCTACACAGCAAAAGAAACTATCAAAAGACAACCTAGAGACTGGGAGAAAATATTCACAAACTATGCATCCAACAAAGTTCTAATATCCAGAATCTATAAGGAGCTTAAACATATTTGCAAGCAAAAAACAACCTCATTAAAAAGTGGGGAAAGAATATGAACAGACATTTTTTAAAAGGAGACATATACATGGCCAAGAAACATATGAAAAAAATGCCCAACATCACTTATCATTAGAGAAACTCAAATCAAACCCACAATGAGATACCGTCTCACATCAGTCAGAATGGTTATTACTATTAATAAAAAGTCAGAAAATAACGGATGCTGGTGAGGTTGTGGAGAAAAGGGAATGCTTATACACTGCTGATGGGAATGTAAATTATTTCAGCCATTGCAGAAAGCAGTTTGGCAATTTATCAATGAACTGAAAACAGAGTTACTATTTGACCCAGCAATCCCATTATTGAGTATATACCCAAAGGAATATATATCATTCTACCATAAAGACATATGCACATGTATGTTCATCACAGCACTGTTCACAATAGCAAAGACACGGAATCAACCTAAATGCCCATCAACGGTAGACTGGATAAAGAAAACGTGTCACATACACACCATGGAATATGATGCAGCCATAAAAAGAACAAAATCACGTCCTTTGCAGCAACATAGGCGAAGCTGGAGACCAGTGTCCTAGGCAAACTAACATAGGAACAAAAAACCAAATACCACACGTTCTCACTTATAAGTGGAAGCTAAACATTTCGTACCTATGGACACAAAGAAGGAAACAACAGACACTGGGACCTACTGCGGGTGGAGGGTGGGAGGAGGGTGAGAATCAAAAAACTCCCTCTCAGGTGCTATACTTAATACCTGAATGATGAAATAAACTGAACAACAAAGCCCCATGACTCAAAACTTACCTATATAACAAACCTGCACATGTACCCCTGAACCTAAAATAAATGTAGTTTTCTCTCAAGATTGTAGATTTATTTAGTTGCAGCTGGTTTGTTAAAATGAAAATATAAAATAAAGGTAAATCTCTAACATACAATTTAGCCTTTCTTTGAAATCAATCTTAATAAAAGTTAAAAATCCTTAATGTATTTTGTGGTAAGAAAATGCAATGGATCAGAATAAATTTTGGTTCAGAAACCTTGTCTTACTTTCTGGTTAATCTTTGCGTCTCAATTATTTTGTGAGAGTAGGCAACTTGCATATCCTTTTTAAGCTTTATGTTGTTCATTTGTAAAATGAAAGGGCCTGGAGTAGGGGCCATATTATGTCCTTCTCATGTTTTAAAGTTATTGTAAAATAACAGTGATAATAACAACAATAATAATAGTTATAATTTCTGGAGCACTTATTCTGTGTCAGACACTAAGAATTTGCATGTAGGCAGTAATTTAAGGCTCACATTGTCTCTAGGAAATGAGTAATATTATTATCTCTATCACACATCTGGAAACTGAGTAATAACGAAGTCCAAGGTTACATATTTATTAACTACTGAACCAAAAAATAGTAGTTGATAAAAGCCAAAATTTGAAAAATTCCTTCTAATTTTAGCAATCCTTATAAACCTAACACCTGAAAAAGGCATGAATATAATCACATTCATAACAAGTGTATATATTTTTCTCAAATACATGTGCACCTGTAAGTAATATATATACTACAATGTAATGAGATTTTTGAGCATGTCAGCAATGAATATTTTTATAATATCCAAAATAAGATTTATATTTTTGAGTGCTATATTTTACTTGTTATTTCTAATGCCAGGTAGAACTTCAAAAACATTGGCTAATGATCATAAACAAAGTCATGGTTATTGTCCTTACCTTCAATTACTTATGTGATTTTTTAAAAAGTCCTGACCTTTGAACTAAGCTATGAAAAATTTTAAGTATTTTTAAGAAAATAAGTAAGACTTTGTCAGTGACTTCATGTTTCATATAAGAAAGCACCATGAATTTCAGACTCCTAGAGTAATATTTAATTCTGTAGAAAAGTAAGTGGTAATTTAGTAAAAAATTTATTATTGATCCATGTATGCTAATGGTCTCATCATCAAAAAAAAAACTCTGAGCTTTGCCAGAATGTCCAGTTTTCCACCATATTTTAGAATGGTTCTAGTAGGGTAAGACTTTTATCACAAATTTACACAATTATTTTAATATCTATAAAGAATAATAAGAATAGTTCACGAAACTCTTTAAAAATAGCAATTTAAAAAATCATATGCAAACCAAACTAACAAAAATCCAGTAAAAAAAGATTTCAAAATTACATGCTCACATTCTTTAGACTGAAGGTTATAGAGACCTTAATTTATGTAAGATTTACTTATATTCTCTGTATTACTAAAATGATATTAAGGATATACTTACTTTTTTTTATTATTATACTTTAAGTTCTAGGGTACCTGTGCAAAATGTGCAGGTTTGTTACATATGTATACATGTGCTATGTTGGTGTGCTGCACCCATTAACTCATTTACATTAGGTATTTCTCTTAATGCTATCTCTCCCCCCTCCCCCACCCCACGACAGACTCTTGTGTGTGATGTTCCCCACCCTGTGTCCAAGTGTTCTCATTGTTCAATTCCCACCTATGAGTGAGAACATGTGGTGTTTGGTTTTCTGTCTTTGCAATAGTTTGCTGAGAATGATGGTTTCTAGCTTCATCCATGTCCCTGCAAAGAACATGAACTCATCCTTTTTTACGGGTGCATAGTATTCCATGGTTTACCTTTCTTAGAATGGTTAAAAGACTATTTTCCCAACAACTAACATTTTTTTTTAAATTCTACACTTTAAAACATTTACATTTATTCAATTGGCCTTATGCATTTGAATTTCTAAACAAAATTTGCAATGAGCAATTAACATTTATAATTAGTATTTAGAATAATTAGATATATTAATATTAAATCTTGATACACATCTATGTATAGATAAGCAAGCTCTTTGAAGATAGGGATTTGCTTTCTATCTTGCTGTATTTTCATAGGCTATAAATCCCTGTTCAATAATAAATGAATGAATCTCATCCCTAACTGTACTAAACACAATTTCTCTGCTAATTAAATTGTTCTATTCCAAAATAAAATGAACATGTATGAAGAGACATATCTGCTTATATTACACCAATATCCGTACTTATTTTCTGTATCTGTTCCTGTTTCTATACCTACTGACTCTTCAATAGGACACAATTTGTTTTGATGATTTTTGTATCCTCAATGGCAATAAATATCTATTAAAAATAAATGAATTAATCCAGAGGACATTACTTGATTCCCTATCTGTATTAAAGAATATACTTCCTAGTCAAACTTTTTCAGTCCTCCAGAAAATAATCTAAGAGAACCCAAAGATCTACTTATCTTTGTTCTATGATTTGCCATGATAAATTTAATAACCCATTGTTTTGCTAGCGGCTTATTTCCTTTTCTTAAAATTTACATACTTTTTAAGGGAGCACCATTAGTGTAAAATTTCTTTCCTCTTTTATCTGCTTCACTTGCCTATGCTGTATCTTTGGTGGAATGATTTTGTGATTTGGTATTTTTAAAAAGAGAAAATTTAGTGTGTAGTGTCTTCCTTTCTTCTCTTTTGGTAGCTCACAACTCTCCTTTTCTTTGATACCCCTTCATGTCTTAAAAATTTCAGCCATATACACTGCTGCTGTAGCAGAGATATCTGTTCTAATGTTAAGTTCTAATGTAACACTGGCTATGAGAAAGTGAGAAATCTGTCTCACCTTCTGGGATGCAGTTTTTGGAAACCAATCTGCTCTGATATAAGCCACCTTCTACAACATCAGCTTGTTCCCCAACAAATGTACTCTTTTGTTTCTACCATGTCTTGTAGTTTCATCTAATTTCTCAATTAGTTTGGCACTTGGACAAGAGATGAAAACAATAATAAAGGTGACAATAATTTTTGTAAGACGTATGTGACAATCACTGTTCTAAGCACAGTGGATAAATACACGTCCATATATATATATTCAAATGGCTTACTCATCACTGTTATTAGTAGATCTTATTACTTGTTTTAAGGCCTTGCAGTTAGTCCATAACAAAGATGTTACCAATCCAAGCAGTCTTCTCCAAACTTCACACATATCACATATTAGAACCTTTTTAAAATCTTCAATTCATAGATATTAAAAGCAATGGCAAAAAAACACAATTTTGCACCAACCTAATGATATCAATGGCAAAAAAAGAAAAACAAAGTTTCATTGTGAAACAACTCAACTTTGATCTTATTTATCTCACAAAACTTAAAGCAATGTCTGAATTCAATAAAACTGATTTAATTTTTTGTATTTGTCAAAAATTTTACATATGCTTTCTATTTTTGTTGAATTTCTGATTTTTGACATGTATCAATTTCTTAAGTATAATTGATGAATATATATTCGTACAAATAATTATACTTTCAATACATATTTTCCTGAATTTATTTTCCATGAATTCATAGTGCCTACCAATAACAAGATTTCCTTAAGTGTTGAATTAATTGCAGGAAATAAAGAATTTAATTAATAAATGAATTTATAATAAATTGAGTCTAAATGAATGGGTTAAATTACCAATGTCTTAAGAAGAACAACTAAGGCTGGGCGCAGTGGCTCCTGCCTGTAATCCCAGCAATTTGGAAGGCCAAGGTGGGCAGATCACCTGAGGTCAGGGGTTCAAGACCAGCTTGACCAACATGAAGAAACCCCATCTCTACTAAAAAAAATACAAAATTAGGTGGCTCATGCCTGTAGTCCTAACTACTTGCTTGAACCCGGGAGGCAGAGGTTGCAGTGAGCCGAGATCCAACCATTGCATTCCAGCCTGAGCAATGAGAGGGAAACTCCATCTTAAAAAATAAATAAAACAAAATAAAAAAGAAGAACAACTAAAGTAAATGGATTTTTAAAGTTTCACACATTATGTATATACCGATACACATTAATGGGGAAAACATACATTCTACAAAATAAAATTGGAAAGGAACAAAGCAAATCAAGAATAATCCTAATGATAATAATAAATAGAGAAACTAAAATTGTACGTTTCGTATAGCAGCTATAGATGGGTTTTATGGAAATGGTATACAGAGAAGAATTAAAATTATTTACTGGCTATAAATTATAAAGCTAATTTATAAAACAATATTCAATTCTGCAGCAGGCAGAATATCTGCATCTTGGAAATGGTAAACGAAGAGTAACCAGTGCTGACAAATTTTAAATTAATATTTATAATTTGCTTTTAGTACTACCGATTTTAAGAATTCATTCAAATTCTTCCTATTCTCAATTCATTCCATTAAGTTTTTTTAATATCCATAAACCTTCATTATTTATAAGGGCTTTAATTTCTTTTTATCCTGAAAAGGTGGAGATTGTCATATTGTAACACTGAATTGAGAGAGTGACAGCTCCTAGAACCTTTTGCATGATGACACAGAAGCCTGCCCTCAAAGTGCCACATAATATAAAGACAATGTTCTGTCTGACTTGTCAGTGCTTATATGATCATAGACAGGCTCACATTGACTGTTCTTTATATCCTGTTGATATTTCATAATATCTAAATTTTGTATTCTAGATATTTTATATTAGTTTATACTGTAAATATAAGTTATAAAATTAGATGTTTTAGATTTTCAATATGCATAGATGCAAGAATAAAATGAGATAGTAAAAAGAGCCAAATATAACTTCAGATTCTCCTGTCCCATTTTGGAAATGCGTATCATGTTACTTTTGAACTGCAATAAGTTTGCCAAAAAAGATATACCCAGTACACATGTTTAAGTCCAGACAACATTTCCAGTTTTATTATCATTTCTCACCCTACAATAGCATAGTCAGTGGGAACATTAAATATAAACTGTGGGAGAAAGGAATTTTTGCAGTTGTGTTTGCAACTTTCTGGCTACAGTTTCTATTCCATAAAACACTCCTGTAAATATAGAAAGCAATTATTATGAAATTTAAAATGTGCACACTTTTCCTATTCTTTTGTGTCTGGATTTTATAACCTTTCATAAATAACCAATTAAAACTTTATATAGACAACAGGATGAAAAATATATTTACAGCTGTAACTTAAGTTAAAATTTATATATTCTAAGTAAATCTCTCCTAAAAAGACAATGCCTTGATCTTATTGAATTATATGGATTCAGATGTAGACTTTGAGTAGCAGCGAAGGCTGTGTGGGAAATCTTTCCACTAATAAACAAAAGACTGAAAGCTCAGTAAACTACGTATTTTTTTTCTCTAAGGTGAGGTTTTAATAGATACTTTTCAGTATATTGACTTTCTGATTATAATGCTTTTAGTTCAAAGTGTTAACATGATGGAGTCAAAGGAAGAGGAAGGTAAAAATAAAATCCCAGCAAACCAAAACACCTAAGTTCTATAGATCGAGAGCTTCTATTTAATTTGGTTGTTTTGTTTTTGCTTCTGAAGGATGCAAATCATTCTCCAAATGACAATGTTCTCTTTTGATTGTTTTTTTTGTTTTTGTTTTCTATCAGTACAGTGTATTTTAATCCAGCTGTTCATGTCTTCCAGTGGGACAAACAATAACCTACAATTAAATGCAGGTGCTTTGAGAAAAGAATACCCTCCTTCTTCCTAATGGCTTGAGGTAAAAAAAAAAAAAAAAAAAAAAAAGAAGAAAAAAGGAAAAAATAAAAGCAGAGAGAGAAAGAGAGAGACAGATGTGAAACCTGAATGTACTGTCTGCTTAGTGAAGCATGCGATCTTGCCATGGGCATGAAACAAAGGTCTGCTTCCTACAAAGGATGTGATTACCCTTTTGGAAAACAGACCTTATTAATTGGTTTTATAAGGAGAAAAGTAAACAATAGTCCTGGGAAAGCATAGTGAGAACAAGAGCAAGTGGGAGAGAGACAGAAAAGAAGAAGGGAAGGCAGTAAAAAGAGTAAAAATGAGGAAAGTGGGAAGGAGGAAAGGGAAGAAAAGACGATAAAGAAAGGCACACTAGCATGTGTATTATTGGGCCAAAATATTTTAACCCCTTAATTTAAAAATAATCAACATTGCTCTTATATCACCTAAACAAAGAAAGAAATTTTATCTTATATAATGTTTTATAGAGAGTAAAATTATTACATACCAATTACTGTATATTGTAATAAAATATTCCAATTGTTTGTATTTCATTTTTTATGCATCTATACACAAGCAGTAGATGAATATGGCATAGTCACAGTTACAGAACCAGGTATAAACATTAAACACAATTTTATAAATACCCAATGATATGATTTGGCTCTGTGTCCCCACCCAATCGCTTCTCAATTGTAATCCTCATGTGTCAAGGGAGGGACCTGGTAGGAGGTGATTGGATCATGGGGACAGGTTTTCCCATGTTGTTCTTGTGATAGTGAATGAGTTCTTATGAGAACTGATGGTTTAAAATTGTAGCACCACTTCCTTCTCTCTCTCTCTCTCTCCTGCTGCCATGCGACACATACCTTGCTTTCCCTTCACCTTCCACCATGATTGTAATTTCCTGAAACCTCTCCAGTCATGCGGAACTGTGAGTCCGTTATACCTCTTTTCTTTATAATTTACCCAGTCTCAGGTATTTCTTTACAGCAGTGTGAAAACGGACAAATACACCCAAGTAGATAACATTACATACTCTTAAAACATCAGCTTTAAAAAAAATCAACATAAACTACATTTTTAGTTTCCTCAAAAAGCTTTATTTAGAATAATCATCAAGTTTTATAAAATTAACTTCACAATAAAACATATCACTATTAATATGCTTTTGATGAAAAACAGTCATGTATAACACATATAAAGAAAATTTAACATCATAAAATATTGTGGCTTTCCTTGCTCAATTTAACTTTATTATTGCCTTAACCTAGACAGAATTAAAGGGGATGCCTTTACTTATTAATAAGTAAATCTGCCTGTATGTTAATGGGTGCCAGATTTCAAAAGAGCATTCTAGATATATAAAGTTTTTGAATAGCTCTTAAAACTAGAGAAACAATTTGTTGTAATCAATACTGTGGTGAAAGTCAACTTTTAGAGGCTAACATCTCACATTTCCCCCACCCCTCTTTTTATTTCACTCATTAATTCTGGGTCTTTTTAAGTATGATCTCTGATATTTTGTCTGTTTTAAACCATAGAAGATCTCTCTTTTTATTTGTTAGGTATAGAACAATGTACTTAAATTTCAAATAAGTTTCCTTTTGATAAAAACTATCCTGCTACAGGGTCACAAAATATGAAAACCACTGTTTTTGATACATCTCAGATTAATTTTGACAAGTAATGTGGTGATACAATGAAATTTAATTTTTCCCCAAAACTAAAAGAATAGAAGATCCCATCTCCTCTTACTGAATAATCCTTCCCTAAACCCATATATTATGGTCTATTTCTAGACTGTATTCTATTTCAAGGGTTCACAACCCCTGGGCCATGGACTAGTACTGCTCCATTGTCTGTTAGGAATTTGGTCGCGCAGTAGGAGGTGAGCAGCAAGAGAGTGAGCATTACCACCTGAGCTCCACTTCCGGTCAGATCAACAGCAGCATTTTATTCTCATAGGACTGTGAACCCTATTGTGAACTGCACATGTGAGGGATATAGGTTGTGCACTCCTTATGAGAATCAAAGGCCTGGTGATCTGAGGTGGAACAGTTTCATCCCAAAACCAACCTCCCTATTCCTCCACTGGTGGAAAAATTGTCTTCCATGAAACCAGTCCCTGCTGCCAAGAAGGTTGGGGATGGCTGTTCTAATCTATTAATTTATTTGTTTGTTTTTTGAAATATTGTACATAATCTATATTATTAGAGTTTTAACATTTGGTAGGCAAAGGTCCACATTATTAGACATTTCACAAATTGTCATGCATATGCCTGACTTCTTTTTCTTCAAAATAAATTAAAAATTACACAATCAGATTCCAAAGAGATTCCATTATTTTAATTTAAAACAAATTATATGTTACTCTATTTTACTTTCTATTACGAGAATGATTTCTCCCTCTAATTACCAATGTTTCTTTAACTTTTACAGTACTATTCTGTATTTTTTTTTGAAATGTGGAGGTAGAATGTAGTGACAGTTAAAATTTAGAAATTGAAATCAAGGTATTATAAGTTCAGATATCAGTTTGCTACTTAAACTTGTGACCTTAAAAAAAATTCAAACGAATCTTAAATATTGCTGTATTCAAATACTGAAATATATTAGATTTTTATAGTTATAAATGATTCAAATTAATATTTACCCCTATATAATTTATACATAGAAAGGAATGCATGTTAATATAAATTCAGAAATGAATACATTGGTTTTAGGAAAAAATAGATAATTCTTCTGATAAGATTACATTTAGGGTCTAGTATTATCAGGGTCTGGTAATACAATAACAGAGCTCAGGAAGAAGATAAAATAAAAGGAAGGTAAGGACAAGAGAGGATAAAGTTGTTAATCAGGAAAGTCTGATATAGTCCACTGCACTACTCATATTATCTTTGTACCTTCTTTATTGCAATCTGTAATATTGTAAGAGGGGATACATGTGTGCAAGCTTAATGCTCTTAGTTTTCTCTGAGAGGGAAAGTACAATCAGTCACGATGTTTTCTTCAGGGTGGTGGCTTTAAGTAACAATCCTTGCTGCTGCAACTGCTCTTGTAGCTGAAATTCATTTTCATTATCTTCATTCTCCACTACTTATTCTGGATGTCTCTTACCACTGGGCATAACGTTGGTCAGTCAGCATTGCTTACATTGTAAAGGAACTCTCATATCTATGCTTGATGGATCTAAGTCCTTAGTTGCTTTGGTCGCAATTATTTACTGGTATCTTTGGACAAATGTGCATCCAGTGGTTCCCAATGAATCTCCTAATTTCTAGGCATTTTTCCTAGAGTTCCAACTGTAAAGAAGAATTACAGTTTCTCATGATAATCTGGAGCTGTTACAACTGCCAGTAAACTAATTCCTCCCTTTGTTCACTGATCCACAGCCTGAAGAGCATAGAGTGACTAGTGGGTAGTGGCAGCTTCACATTCAATAGGATACTGTGTTTTCTGGCAGAAATAACTCCTCCCTGCTCCTCATGAGTTAGGACCTTTAATCAAATTTTTCAGGATGGAATGAATAATTTATTACTATGCATGTGGATTATTGGGAATAGTGGTGGAAGGGATCAATTGTACTTTCACCTTTGCTTTCCAATTTCACATCTTATAGCTTTGGGGTAGCTATTCCACTAAACAGTAGAATGTTGCTTTAATTCATTGAATTGAAGATGACATTTTATATTAGATGCTTATTGATATGGTTTGGCTTTGCGTTTCAGGCCAGATCTCATCCTGAATTGTAATCCCATAATCTCCCCATGTTGTGGGAGGGACCTGGTAGGTGGTAATTGAATCATGGGGTTGGTTTTCCCCATGCTGTTCTCATGATAGTGGGTGAGTTCTCACAAGATCTGATGGTTTTATAAGCATCTGGCAGTTGTCCTGCTGACTGTCATTCTCTCTCCTGCTGCCCTGTGAAGAGGTGTCTTCCCCATGATTGTAAGTGTCCTGAGGCCTCCCCAATGATGCAGAAATGGGAGTCAATTAAACCTCTTTTCTTCATAAAATAACCAGTCTTGGGTATTTTTTCAAAACAGTGTGAGAATGGACTAATAGAGTAAATTGGGAACAGAAGTGGGGTTCTGCTATAAAGGTACCCAAAAATGTGGAAGTGACTTTGGAACTTGGTAACAGAGGTTGGAATAGTTTGCAAAGCTCAGAAGAAGACAGGAAGATGTGGGCAAGTTTGGAACTTCCTAGAGACTTGTTGAATGGCTTTGACCAAAATGCCAATAGTGATATGAACAGTAAAGTCCAGGCTGAGGTAGTCTCAGACGGAGATGAGGAACTTGTTGGGAAATGGAGTGAAGGTTACTCTTACTATGCAAAGAGACAGTTGGCATTTTGCCCCTGCCTTAGAGATCTGTGGAACTTTGAACTTGAGAGAGATGATTTAAGGTACCTGGCAGAAGAAATTTCTAAGTGGGAAAGAATTCAAGAGGAAGCAGAACATAAAAGTTTGAAAAATTTGCAACCTGATGATGCAGTAGAAAAGAAAAGCCCATTTTCTGGAGACAAATTCAAGCTGGTTGCAGAAATCTGCATAAGTAATATGGAGCCAAATGCTAATCGCCAAGACAATGGAGAAAATGTCTCCAGGACATGTCAAGAGTCTTCATGGCAGCTGCTCCTATTTCAGGCCCAGACGACTAGGGGGAAAAATGGTTTCATGGGCTGAGTCCACGGCCCCCCTGCTGTGTTGCAGCCTTGGACTCGGTGCCCTGTGTCCCAGCTGCTCCAGTCATGGCTAAAAGGAGCCAACATATGGCTCAGGCCATTGCTTCAGAGAAAGCAAGCCCCAGATCTTGGCAGCTTCCACTTGGTTTTGGGCCTGTGGTTATGCAGAAGAGAAGAATTGGGGTTTGAGAACCTCTGCCTAAATTTCAGAGGATGTATGGAGATGCCTGGATGTCCAGGCAGAAGTCAAGCCCTCACGGAAAACCTCTCCTAGGGAAGAACAGAAAGGAAATGTAGGGTTGGAGCCCCCCACAATGTTCCCACTGGGGCACTGCCTAGTGAAGCTGTGAGAAGAGGTCCAGTGACCTTCAGATCCCAGAATGGATGATCCACCGACAGCTTGCACCATGCACCTGGAAAAGCTGCAGACACTCAACACCAGCTGTGAAAGCAGCCAGGAGGGGGTCTGTACACTGCAAAGCCACAGGATAGAGCTGCCCAAGGCCATGAAAGCCCACCTCTTGCATTAGCATGATCTGGGTGTGAGACATGGAGTCAAAGATCATTTTGGAATTTTAAGGTTTAATGTTTAATGAGTCTCCTATTGGATTTTAGAGTTTCATAGGGCCTATAGCCCTTTTGTTTAGGCCAATTTCTCCCATTTGGAATGGGTGTATTTACCCAATGCCTTTATTCCTATTGTATCTAGGAAGTAACTAACTTGCTTTTGATATTACAGGCTCAAAGGCAGAAGGAACTTACCTTGTCTCAGATGAGACTTTGGACTTGGACTTTTAGGTTATAACGCTGGAATGAGTAGAGACTTTTGGGGACTGTTGGAAGGGCATAATTGTGTTTTGAAATGTGAGGACATGAGACAGGGGAGAGGCCAGGGCAGAATAATATGGTATGAACTTTGTGTCCCCACCCAAATCTCATCTTGAAGCGTAATCCCATAATCCCCACATGTTGTGGGAGGAACCTGGTAGGAGGTCATTGAATCATGGGTGAAGTTTTTTCCATGCTGTTCTTACGATAATGAGTGAGTTCTCATGAAATCTGATGGTTTTATAAGTGTCTGGCATTTCCCCTGCTGGCTCTCATTCTCTCTCATGCTGCCCTGTGAAGAGGTGCCTTCTGCCATGAGTGTGTCCTGAGGCCTCTTCAGCCATGTGGAACTGTGAGTCAATTAAACTTCTTTTCTTTATAAAATACCCAGTCTCAGGTATTCCTTCATAGCAGCATGAGAATAATCTACTATACTTATTTTTTCTTATTTTACCAAAAAGTAAAATTAAATTATCAATTAAACTATTACAGTGTTTGCATATTAGTTAGAATTTTAAAAATTTATTTTATGCCTATTAAATGAGCTATTTGAAATTTAGTAGGTTGTACCAATGAAAACATTCACTTCATCTCTCTAGATTCTTAAACAGATTCCTTCCTGGATTTCTACTGGTCTTGTACAATGTCTCCAGTAAAATATTTTGGAAAAATAATTATGACAATTATAGCTACATGGTGAATTACACATTTCATCATTACAGAGTTACCCTCTGGATACCTTGAATTGTTTTTATTTTAAACTATGCTTGTTTTCTGATATTTATAAAATAAAAAATATTTAATGAATAATTGGGTAATTACTATAGCTAATCTGATTTTGAAAGGCTTGAGTGAAATGTTTGAGCATATTTGAGAAGTAATAAGGGAGAGTAAGGAATGGTTCACTAAATCATGATGCATCATACAGGTACTTTACAACTATTTAAAAAGGCTTCAACTTTATTTTATAGTTATTTGTTAGGAGAAACATATGTATCTTGCATTCCTCATATTATGTTAGAGCAGATAAAATTTATACAAATATTTTGCCAAATTATGGAATAAATAATTGAATAGAATAGAAATTATGGAATATAGTATAGTGCAGGCACAGGAGTTGATCCAAAGTGCATCTAATCCAATGCTTGTCTTTCCTTCAATGTTCTTCAGCCATTGAAACCACAACTGAACAGCTTGTGATCCTAACAAGTTCCTTAACTTCACGATACCTCAATTTTCTCATGTTAAAATCGGAATAGTAACAACACATCCCTGAAAAAGCTCACCTCAGCCTGTGCTGCTATAATAGAATACCATAATATGTGTGACTTAAATAACAAACATTTATTTCTCACAGTTATAGAGGCTGCGAATTCCAAGAACAAGGTTTCAGCAGCTGAAGGTGTCTGGCATTTGGTGAGGGCCCTCTTCCTGGTTTGCAGATGAGTTTTATCCTCACATGGCTGAGAGAGAAATTACCTCTCTTATATTTCTTCTTATAAGGGCATTAATCCCATTCATGAAGGCCCTACTCTCATGACTTAAATACCCTCTCAAAAGGTCCTACCTCTTAACACCATCACATTGGAGGTTAGGATTTCAGCATATGAATTTTGCGGAAACATAAACATTCATTTCATAACATGACTGTTGTAATATTTTACATGTGTAAAAGCTATTTAATGAGTAGGTAGATATTTCATGCTGAGAAAACAGTCTGTCAGGTAATAAACACTCAATAAGTGTCAGCTTTTATTGTTTTTATCCTGTCCACTGAAGTTCACTTCTCTAGAAAGGAGGGAATCTTGTAAGACAATGACCGTTATTTGACTTAGTTTCTCTACTGAACAACGTGTGTTAAACAATAGACTAGTGTTCACATTCATATCTTTCTGCTTCTCTTCTCCTCCCCCTCTTTAAAAATATCTCTGTCTCCAAATTTCTTGTCACAGAACAACTATGCTCAGTATGATCACCTCTTCACCGCTCTGCATTCATGCAGTAAGATTTTATTATTATTATTATTATTATTATTATTATTATTAGAGACAAATTCTGGCTCTATTGCCCAGGCTGGAGTGCAGTGGCTCCTGGGCTCAAGCCATCCTCTCACCTCAGCCTCCCAAGTAGCTGGGACTAAAATTGGGCACCACCATGCCCAGCTAAAAATTTTTTTTTTTTTTGTAGAGATGGGTTTTCACCATGCTGGCCAGGCTAGTCTGGAACTTGTGAGCTCAAGCGATCCACCAGCCTCAGCTTCCCAATGTGCTGTGATTACAGGTGTGAGCCTCCGCATCTGGCCTATTCATTCTGTAAGCTTTCTGAGACATTAACACCAATATCTAAGCATTTAAAAAGTAAAAGCAAATTTTTCTTCTCTATTATATTACAAACACCCAGTGCATAATATAGTTTATACACACATTGACATTGTTAACCAAGGAAAATAGTAGATAATTTCTGTTTTCTAGGGAAGTGTAGGGAAAAAAATGACAGGAAAACAAAAAATTTTGGTTTTAGCCTTGTCAGTATTTCACATACACTGTGCCAATTTTTCAGAAACCAGAACCTAAAAATATAAACAATTTAGAGCTGTCTCCCATCATGAAATTACTCATAGAATATAGTTCTGGGATCATAGAAATATCTATTTTGAATATTGCTTTTTGCTTAACAGAATTAGAGACATCCTATGATTCTAACAATTGTTAGAATTTGCTGTGGTAATAGCAACTATTCAGTGGATCTTATGTAATGCTTCTGTTTTCCCTTCAATGTTATTGAGCCATAGCCTCTTTCTCTCTGAACCGTATATCACACTCATTATCTCGAGTGAAAACTGTGTGTAATTCTAGTGATGTCATGGACTCCACATTCATATTCACCCCACGTTCACTCCAGAAAACTGAGTAGGTTTCCAGAAGTGGTACAAGGTGGCACTATAAGAAAAGGTTTTTGCTTTGTATGCTCCATAGGGTCAGGCTCCTGCTCTTTCTGTACTTTCCTTTTTATATACTACCCCTCACATTTTCAGCTGTTTCACAGTGACACTGTGCTGACATATTGCTGCTAAGATTCTTATTTTCTGTAAAATGGTTCCTAATAATGTATTCCCATGTCTCAACATTTTCTGAGCTGGAGAATTGCCCTGTGAAGACCATTGGACTGAAAAAAAAAACCTCTTAAGACTTAAAAATATAGTGGAACCAAGGGCCCAGTAAGAAACAACATATCTTCAGTAGATAGAAAACTTTTTCACAAAGAGAACTTTAGGCCCAGATGGCCTCACTAGTAAATTCAACCAAACATTTAAGAAAGAAGTAATATCAATTTCATACAAACTATTCCAGAAAGTTAGACACATAAATTATGTCTCCATTTATTATATAAGCCCAGGAATACCCTGACACCAATAGTATAAAAGCATGACACTAAAGGAAATAAAACTTACAACACAGTATTGCTCATGAAAAAACTATAAAAATTCCACATAGAAATGTAGCAAATTGACTCCACCAATACCAAACATAACAACACATGGTTACCGAAAGGTGGTTTCTCCAAGCTGGGTTAACCCTTATAAAATCAATTAATTCACTGTATTAAATTTTAAAAGCAAGACTATAAGACCATCTCAATAAATAGATACAAAAGATTTGACAAAACCTATACCCATTTCTGATAGAAATCCTCAAAATACAAGAAAAAAAATGAAAAAAAAAACATAAGGATGATCTCAACCTGATAAAGGGCATCTACGAAATAAAAAAACGGTATACCTGACAGGAAAAACTTAATGCTTTACTCTTGCAATATGGAAGAAATGGTGTTTTACTGTGATCACTTTTATTTATATTTTACCGGAGATTCTAGTCAATACAAAAAAGTGAGAAAAATAATTAAAAGGCATCCAAATAAGAAAGAATCTGGATTACTATCCTGTATCTATTATTTCCACAACCTGATTCTACAAAGGTGTGGCCACTCTCTTCCAAGATATAATTTATATGCCCTGATAGGGTAGTAAACAAAAGAATAATATGCTGAAGTTTTTGTCTCTGTTCTCTGTCTGGAAAATTATTCTAGCATGTTACTTTTTATTACTTCTATTAGATTATCAAGAAAAGACAAGCTCTTAATGTCACAATAGAATGGGGTTTTGGTGGATAGATTGTAATTACATGTCATTATTTTCAATCATCTCAAATATAAATGGAGTTAAAGTGTATGTAATTATTTGGAAGCAATTCTTGTAATAGTCCAAGAAATTTGACCACTTGTAATTGCTCTTTTTCTCTATTCAGTTTATGTTGTCTGAATCTTACCTCTAACAGCCTTGAACATGAGGGTCAATATTTTTATTTGAATACTTAAAAAAGTAAATAATTCAGCATGGGACCAGTGTGTGCTAGTTTAACACAACTGAATCCAAATGAAATAAAAGTCTCAACTTGCTCTAATCTCCTCTTTGTCATCCTGTCTGTCTTTCTCCTGCCTACTCCATTTATTAGCCAATATGAGAACTGTAAGATATTTTATTAAAGATGTCCCATTAACATAGAAATATACAAAGAAGAGTATTTGATACTTTGATTTTTATGAGTTTTTCTAATTTCTGCCTTAGCATTTCATGTAATTTTAAATTGCAAACATTATTCATCAAACCTGGAAGTTTTAATTTCCTGATTGAAGAGCTATCCTCTAGATCCTGTTCATAACTTTCATATTTAACCAACACACATTTACACTAATTTTGTCAGAATTTAATCACTTTATGAGCAATATTACAATATCCTTGATCTTTGATTCAGATATTATTACTTTCAAATTTATGAAACTTATATAAATGAAATTTAATTACCTTTAATATTAACCATTTATGTCTCAACATTCTTTATCTAAGACAGACTATCAATTATTTAACATTAATTCAAGCTAATCTAATATGTGTTTCTGGTATTTCTTCTATCTACTTCTCCTGCTTTAACATTCATATCACATGTACATTTAGCATTCATATCACACGATTATTTTGCCCAGGAATTAGGAGTTCAGTTACTTTTTCAGATTTTTTTCTTTTTATGTAAAAATTGTTACACTAGTTGATAAAATCATTCATCTGAGAAAAATAATATGAGAAATATGCTTTGAAATATGCATTTTAAATGCTCATAGCTTAAAACTGAAAAGCATATGTATATATAAAACACTGAACTTGTTATATTTTGTTAAGTTTGGACATACATATCTCAATGTCATATATAAAATCCAGATTATTATTCTAAATCACTTTCATTGTGTAATTGTTGAACCAATGTCAAGAAAGTCGGGTTTTTCTATGTGCTATATAGTCTATATTAATTACTACTAAAATGATTAAATAAAATGTATAATAAATAATGTCCCACTCTAGAAAAAAAGAGGTATAAATAATTCCTTTCTTTTCCATATGGATCAAACTACTGAGTGCCAAACAGAAGTTGGAGATTACATCCAGTGCATTACATTTTGACTTTTAAGACATAAACCTTGAACTGTGAACTAAGATTTACCAAAATATGTTGACTAACACAATTTGTGATAATTTTCTAGTAAGATGGAATTGAAGTGATTAATACATTATGAAATTATCATCAACAAGCAAAAATTAGTCCTAACTCATCTGTTTATTGATAATTTTATCATTGATTTTTGGAGAAGAAAAATCTAACACTTTAAATTCAGAAATTTTATTTCTTAAAGCATTTAGACCCTTGAAAATAAAGACACAAATCCACATCCACATTTAAAAATACTTTAGATACATTCCAAAATGGCCAACTACACACAGCCAGGAAGAACTTCTACAACCGAGACAGACCTGAATACTTAGTAACTGGCATAACCCAAACAGACCATCTGAGAGAATACACTGAGAGAGGTTAGAGAGATGACCCAGATGCTGGGACATACAAAACAATAGAAAAGATAAATGAAACAAAAAGCTAGCTGTTTGAAAAGATAAATAAAATTGATATACCATTAGGAAGATTAGCCAAGAAAAAAAGACCCAAATAAGCTCAATTAGAAATGAAATGGGAGATACTAAAACTGATACCACAGAAATACAAAAGATCATTCTAGGCTACTAAGAACACCTTTATGCACATAAACTAAAATGCCTAGAGGAGATAAATACATTTCTGATAGATTAAACCAGGAAGAAATAAAAACTCTGAACAGAAAATAATGAGCAGCAAGATTGAAATGGTAATTAAAAAATTGCTAACAAAAAAAAGTTCAGGACCAGATGAATTCACAGCTGAATTCTATCAGACATTTAAAAAATTGGTACCAATCCTTTTGACACTATTCAACATGATAGAGAAAGAGGGAATCCTCCCTAAATCATTCTCTGAAGCTAGTATCACCCTAATACCCAAACCAGGAAAAGATATAAGGAAAAAAAACAAAATTACAGAACAATATCCATTACGAACGTAGATGCAAAAATATTCAACAAACTACTAGCTAACTGAATCCAACAGCATATCAAAAAGATAATCCACCATGATCCAGTGTGTTTCATACCAGGGATGCAGGGATGGTTTAACATACGCAAGTCAATAAATGTGTTACACCACATAAACAGAATTAAAAACAAAAATCACATGATCATCTCAATAGACACAGAAAAAGCATTTGACAAAAATCCAGCATCCCCTAATGAGTAAAAGCCTCTTTGGGTGGCCGAGGCAGGCGGATCATGAGGTCAGGAGATGGAGACCATCCTGGCTAAGATGGTGAAACCCCGTCTCTATTAAAAATACAAAAAATTAGCCAGGAGTGTTAGCAGGCACCTGTAGTCCCAGCTACTCAGGAGACTGAGGTAGGAGAATGGCGTGAACCCAGAAGGCGGAGCTTGCAGTGAGCTGAGATAGCTCCACTGCACTCCAGCTTGGTGACAGAGTGAAACTCCATCTCAAGAAGAAAAAAAAAAAAAAAAAGCCTCGGCAAAATCAGCATAGAAGGAGCACACCTTAATGTAATAAACCATCTATGACAAACCCACAGTCAACCTTATACTGAACAGGGAAAAGATAAAAACAAGACAAGGATACCCACTTTCACCCTTCTATTTAACATAGTACTGGAAGTCCTTGCCAGAGCAATCAAACAAGAGAAAGAAATAAAGGGCATCCATATATGTATTCAGATGGTAGAAAGGAAGTAAACTGTAAAAAGAAAGAGGTAAAGAGGAAGTGAAACTGTTGCTGTTTGCTGATGATATGACTGTATACCAAGAAAACCCTAAAAACTCATCCAAAAAGCTCCTAGAACTGATAAACAAATTCAAACAAAATTAATGTACACAAATCAGTAGCACTGCTATACATCAACAACGACAAAGCTGAGAATCAAATCAAGAACTCAACCCTTTTTACAATAGCTGCAAAAAAATGAAATGTTTAGAAATATACCTAACCAAGGAGGGGAAAGACCTCTACAAGGAAAACTACAAAACACTGCTGAAAGAAATCATAGATGACATAAACAAATAGAAACACATCCCATGCCCATGGATGGGTAGAATCAATATTTTGAAATGACAATACTGCCAAAAGCAATCTACAAATTCAATGCAATCCCCTTAAAAATACTGCCATAATTCTTCACAAAATTAGAAAAAGCATTTCTAAAATTCATATGGAACCAAAAAAGAACCCGCAAAGCCAAAGCAAGACTAAGCAAAAAGAATAAATCTGGAGGCATCACATTACCCAATTACACAGCTTCAAACTATAAGCCCATAGTCACCAAAACAGCATGGTACTGGTATAAAAATAGGCACATAGACCAACGGAACATAATAGAAAACCCAGAAAGAATGCCAAATGCTTACAGCCAACTGATCTTCAGCAAAGCAAACAAAAACGTAAAGTGAGGAAAGGATACTCTATTCAACAAATGTTGCTGGGATAACTGGCAAGCCACATGTAGAAGAATGAAACTGGATCCTCATCTCTCACCTTATACAAAAGTCAAGTCAAGATGGATCAAAGGCTTAAATCTAAGATCTGAAACCATAAAAATTATAGAAGATAACATTGGTAAAACCGTTCTAGACATTGGCTTAGGCAAAGACTTCATGACCAAGACCCCAAAAGCAAATTCAACAAAAACAAAAACAAATAGATGGGGTTTAATTACACTAAAAAGCTTCTGTGAGCAAAAGAAACAATCAGCAGGGTAAACAGATAACCCACAAAGTGGGAGAAAATCTTTGCAGTCTATATATCCAACAAAGGACTAATATCCAGAATCTACAAAGAACTCAAATAAATCAGTAAGACAAACGATCCCATCAAAAAGGCTAAAGACATGAATAAACAATTCTCAAAAGAAAATATACAGTGGAGCATTGAAGTCCCTCACTATTATTGTGTTGCTATCTCATTTCTTAGGTCTATTAGTAATAGTTTTATGAATTTGGGAGCTCCAGTGTTACGTGCATATATGTTTATGATTGTGATTTTTTCTTGTTGGACAAGGCCTTTTACCATTATATAATGTCCCTCTTTGTCTCTTTTAACTGCTGTTGCTTTTAAAATTGTTTTGTCTAAGAATAGCTACCTCTCCTTGCATTTGGTGTCCATTTGTATGAAATGCCTTTTTCCACCCCTTTACTTTAAGTTTATGTGAGTTCTTACATGTTAGGTGAGTCTCCTGAAGATAACAGATGGTTGGTGAACTTTTATCCATTCTGCAGTTCTGTAGTTTTAGCCGTGCATTTAGGCCATTTACATGCAATGTTAGTATGAAATGTGAGGTACTATTGCATTCATCATGCTTTTTGTTGCCTGTGTACTTTTTTTTTGTTTTTTGTTTTGTTTTGTTCTTGCTTTTTAACATGTATTTTATTTTATAGGTCTTGTGTGATTTATGCTTTAAAGAGGTTCTGTTTTGATGTGTTTATAGGATTTGCTTCAATATTTAGAGCTCCTTTTAGCAGTTCTTGTAGTGGTGGTATGGTAATGGTGAGTTCTCTCAGCACTTGTTTGTCTGAAAACAACTGTATCTTTCCTCCATATGGGCTAAGCGTGTCTTAGCTCAGACTCTCCTTGGGCTGGTCTTGCTCCTGCTGCTGTGTGGGATGGGGGTGAGATTCCCACATTAGGTAACTGGAGTTGTGTACCTAGAATGATTATGGCTGTCTCTGCTGAGTCACAAAATCCAATGACATATCAAAAATATAAGCCACCATGATCAAGTGGGTTTCATGCCAGGGATACAGGGATGGTTTAACATATGCAAGTCAGTAAATGTGACACACCACATAAACAGAATTAAAAGCAAAAATCACATGATAGTCTCAATAGATGCGGAAAAAGCATTTGACAAAATCCAGCATCGCTCTATGATTAAAACTCTCAGCAAAACAGACATACAAGGGACATAACTTAGTGTAATAAAAGTCACCTGTGACAAACCCACAGACAACATAATACTAAATGGGGAAAAGTTGAAAGCATTCCCTCTGAGAACTGGAACAAGACAAGGATGTCCACTCTCACCACTCCTCTTCAACATAGTACTGGAAGTCCTAGCCAGAGCAATCAGACAAGAGAAAGAAATAAAGGGCATCCAAATCATTAAAAAGGAAGTCAAAGTGTCACTGTCTGCTGATGATATGATTGTTTACCTTGAAAACCCTAAGGACACCTCCAGAAAGCTTTTAGAACTGATAAACAAATTCAGCAGTTTCTGGATACAAGACTAATGTACACAAATCAGTAGCTCTTCTATATAAGAACAAGGACCAAGCTGAGAATCACATCAAGAACTCAACCCCTTTCACAATAGCTGCAAAAAAATTAAAATACTTAGGAATATGCCTAACCAAGGAGATGAAAGACCTCTACAAGGGGAAACTACAAAACACTGCTGAAAGAAATCATAGATGACACAAACAAATGGAAACACATCCCATGCTCATGGATGGGTAGAGTCAATATTGTGAAAATGACTAAACTGCCAAAAGTAATCTACAAATTCAATGCAATCCCCATCAAAATACCACCATCATTCTTCACAGAATTAGGAAAAACAATTCTAAAATTTATATGGAACCAAAAAAGAGCCTGCATAGCCAAAGCAAGACTAAACAAAAAAACAAACAAACAAACAAAAAATCTGGAGGCATCACATTATCTGATTTCAAACTATCCCATAGGGCCATAGTCACCAAAATAGCATGATACTGATATAAAAATAGGCACATAGGCCAATGGAACAGAATAGAGAACCCAGAAATAAACCTAAATACTTACAGTCAATTGATCTTTGATAAAGCAAACAAATACATAAAGTGGGAAAAGGACACTCTTTTCAACAAATGGTGCTAGGATAATTGGCTAGCCACATGTAGAAGAATGAAACTGGTCCCTCATCTCTCACCATATACAAAAATCAACTCAAGATGGATTAAGGACTGAAACCTAAGACTTGAAACTATAAAAATTCTAGACAATAACATTGGAAACAGCCTTCTAGACATTGGCTTAGGCAAGGATTTCATGACTAAGAACCCAAAAGCAAATGCAACAAAAACAAAGGTAAAAAGCTAGGACCTAATTAAACTAAAGAGCTTTTGCATGGCAAAAGCAGCAGTCAGCAGAGTAAACAAACAACCCAAAGAAGGGTAGAAAATCTTCACAATCTATACATCTGAGAAAGGACTAATATCCAGAGTCTACAACAAACTCAAACAAATCGGTAAGAAAAAAAACATCTCATCCAAAAGTTGGCTAAGGACACGAACAGACAATCTGCAAAAGAAGATATACAAATGGCCAACAAACACATAAAAAAAATGCTCAACACCACTAATGATCAGGGAAATGCAAATCAAAACCACAATGTGGCACCGGAAGCAGTGGCTCACGCCTGTAAGTCCAGCACTTTGGGAGACCGAGGCAGGTGGATCACCTGAGGTTGGGAATTTGAGACCAGCCTGGCCAACATGATGAAACCCCATCTCTACTAAAAATACAAAATTAGCCGGGTGTGGTGGGACATGCCTGTAATCCCAGCTACTGGGGAGGCTGAGGCAGGAGAATTGTTTGAACCCGGGAGGCGATTGCACTCCACCCTGGGCAAAAATAGCAAAACTCTGCCTCAAAAAAACAAAAACAAAAACAAAAAACAAAACCACAATGTGATACCACCTTACTCCTTTAAGAATGGCCATAATCAAAAAATCAAAAAACAGTAGATGTTGGCGTGGATGCAGTGATCAGGGAACACTTCTACACTGCTGGTGGAAATGTAAATTAGTACAGCCACTATAAAAAACAGTGTGGAGATTCCTTAAAAAACTAAAAGTGGAACTACCACTTAATCCAGCAATCCCAATACTGGGTATTTACCAAGAGGAAAAGAAGTCATTATTTGAAAAAGATACTTGTACACCCATGTTTATAGTGGCACAATTCACAATAGGAAAATCATTGAACCAACCCATATGCCCATCAATCAATGAGTGGATAAAGGAACCTTGGTATATATATACAATGGAATACTATGCAGTCATAACAAAGAATGAATTAACAGCATTTGCAGTGACCCAGATGAGATTGGAGACTATTATTCTAAGTGAAGTAACTAAGGAATGGAAAATCAAACATCGTATGTTTTCACTGATATGTGGCAGCTAAGCTATGAGGATGCAAAGGAATAAGGACAATACAACGGACTTTGGGGACTTGGGTGGGAGAGTGGGAGGGTGGTGAGGGATAAAAGACTACAAATATGGTGCAGTAAGGTAGGGTGCACCAAAATATCACAAATCACCGCTAAAGAACTTACTCATGTAACCAAATGCAACCTGTACCCCCAATAACTTATGGGAAAAAAATAAAATGATTAGTTTTATGGTTATGTGAATCTCACCTCAATAAAAAGCTTTAATTTAAAAACTTAAGGTGCTATACATATAAAAGCAATTAAAATAATGACATTTATTTCCATGTGGATAGTGTCAGGAAAAAAGAGGAAAAAATAATGACATAGCTACCCAGGTACTCAATATCATATTACCTTAGAAGCCTTTCCCAATACACACAGCACTTCCTCTATACAAAAATACCACTGCCCTAAATTTTGTAGTTTCTTGCTTCTATTTAACTTTTTAGCTATGTTTGTATCCTTAAATAATACCTAGTTTTGCCTGTTTTTGAATTTCATATAAAAGATCATTTTATGTTTTCTTTTATGACTTGCTTTTTCAGTTAACATTATGTTTCTGAGATTCATCCATGTTGGCCCATGTAACAATAAATTATTCATTTCACTGCTGTATGTGCTTCATTGTTTAAATAAACCACAATTTTATTTAAAAAAAGAAAATATACAAATGGCCAACAAACATATGAAAAACGCTCAATATCACTAATGATCAGGGAAATGCAAAACAAAACCACAATGTGATACCACCTCACTCCTGCAAGAATGACCATAATAAAAAAATAAAATAAAATAATAGATGTTGGCATGGATGTGATCAAAAGAGAACACTATAATCTTGCTGGTGGGAATGTAAACTAGTACAACCACTATGGAAAAAGTGTGGAGAGTCCTTAAAGAAATAAAAGTACATCTACCATTTGATCCAGAAATGCCACTCCTGAGTATTTACCCAGAAGAAAATAAGTCATTGTACAGAAAACATACTTGCACATGCATATTTATAGCAACACCTTTCACAATTGCAAAAATATGGAACCAGTCTAAATGCCCATCAATCAACATGTGGATAAAGAAAATGTGATTATATATGTATACATACACCATGGAATACTACTCAGCCATAAAAAGGAACAAAATAATAGCATTCACAGCAACCTGGATGGAATTGGAAACTATTATTCTAAGTGAAGTAACTCAGGAATGGAAAACTAAACATCATATGTCGCCACTTTATAAGTGGGAGCTAAGCTATGAGGATGCAAATGCATAAGAATGATACAATGGACTTTGCATACTCAGGGTAAAGGGTGGCGGGGTTGGGGAGGATAAAAGACTCTACATTGGGTACAGTGATGGGTGCACCAAAATCTCAGAAATAACTACTAAATAACTTATTCATGTAACCAAACACCACCTGTTCCCCCAAAAGCTATTGAAATAAAAAAAATATTTTTTTAAAGAAAATGAACAAAACCTTTGAGAAACATGGGATTATATAAAGAGACAAAAATCTATGACTTACTGGCATTTCAGAGAGAGCAGAGACAAAACAACCAACTTAGAAAATATATTTGAAGATCTAATCCACGAAAATATTCCCAATTTTGCTAGAGAGTTCGACATGCAAATTCAAGAAATTCAGAGAACTCTTGTGAGATACTATGCAAGATTACCATCCCCAAGGCACTTAATCATCAGATTCTCCAAGGTCAACATGAAAGAATAAATCTTTAAGGGAGCTAGAGAGGAAGAGTTCACTGACAAAGGGAACCCCATCAGACTAACAGTGGACCATTCAACAGAAATCTTACAAGCCAGAAGTGATTGGGGGTCTACATTCACCATCTTTGAAGGAAATAAATTCCAATCAATAATTTGATATCCTACAAAGCTAAGCTTCTTAAGCACAGGAGAAATAAAATCCTTTTCAGACAAGCAAAAACCAAGTGACCTGCCTTACCAGAGCTACTAAAGGGAGTTTTTAACATAGAAATGAAAGAATGGTATCTGCTGCCACAAAAGAACACTTAAGCACCTACCCTAGTACTGTAAAGCAACTATACAATCAAGTCTACATAACAACCAACTAACAGAATGATGACAGGATCAAATTCTCACTTATCAATGTGGGAGTTCAGTCAGGTTGGTGGGAAAAATTTTAAGATGAAGTTATAGGATATAGACACAAATCTTCTTGGAAGGCCAGAAGGTTTTGCAAAAGTCTCAGGATAGGGTTATGGCTGAAAGCAGCCTAATCCTTACCTTGAGTAAATAGCTTAAAGTAGGTACAAAGGAATGTAGAGTAGTTTATCTAAATAGCCTATTTACTCAAGCTAAGACCAACCTTTGATCAACCGTGGGTGCATAATTGCTCTCTACTGGGTGGTGAGTGGGGGTGGGGGGGAGTGGGGGTGGGGTGGCGGGGGTGGTGGTCGGCAACCAGGTCAATTACCCTCTAGTGGAGTTTACTCAAGATGTTTGTCATTTAATCTATACTGAATAAATGTGAGCTTTGATGGCTGAATGGACCTTGGCTGCTACACTTTACAGCACCTTCCTTGGTGTCTGTGAGGGACCCGGACACTTAGCTGGACTGACAGGCAGAATATCTGTGTCAGTGTATGTTATTCATTCGTCATTGGGTCACAGTCTGTGGGACGGACCCCTGCATATCAATATTGACCACAAATGTAAATAGTCTAAATGCCTCACTAGAAAGTCATACAGTGACAAGTTGGATAAAGAACCAACTCCCACTGTCTGCTATTTCCAAGAGATCCATCTTACAAGTAATGACAACCCATAGGCTCAAAATAAAGAGATGGAAAAAGATCTATCAAAAAACAAAAAACAAAAATGAGTAATGATTATTATATCAAATGAAACACTTTACACCAACAAGGATCAAGTTTTATAGATCTATGAAGAGACAGATAATCACACAATAATACCCGGGGACTTCAACACTCCATACTGAGGCAGAAAACTAACAAAGGTATTCTGGACTTAAACTCCACACTTGACCGATTGGACCTAATAGATAACTACAGAAAAATTCACCCAACAACAACAGAGTATACATTCTTCTCATTGTCACATGGCACATACTCTGAGGTTCAACACATGCTCAGCCATGAAGCAACACAAAGTGAATTTTAAAAAAATCAAAGTCATACCAACCATACTGTCAGATCACAGTGCAATAAAAATAGGAATCAATACCAAGGAGAGCTATAAAATCATACAATTACATTAAAGTTAAATAATCTTCTCCTAAATGACTTTGTGTAAAGAATGAAATTGAGGCAGAAATCAAAAAATTATTTGAAACTAATGAAAACAGAAAGGCAAATAACAGAATCTTTGGGGCACAGCTAAAGCCATATTAACAGGAAGGTTTACAGCGATAAATGCCTACATCAACAAGTTAGAGAGATCTCAGTTAACAACCTATTGTAGCACCTTAAGGAACTAGAAAAACAAGAGCAAGCTAACCCTAAAAGTAGCAGAATAAATAAATAACCAAAATCAGAGCTGAACTGAATATTTAGAAATAAAAATCCATACAAGAGATCAGTGAAACTGAAAGTTGGTTCTTCAAAAAATTAAACAAGATTAATAGACTACTCACTAGGTTGAAAAAGAAAAAATGGGAGAAGATCCAAATAAACACAATCAGAAATGACAAAGTTGACATTACAATCAATCCTGCAGAATTACAAAAAAACCTCAGAGACTGTTATGAGCTCCTCTACTTAACATAAACTGGAAAACCTAGAAAAAAACGGATAAATTCCTGGAAACACACGCCTCCTAACATTGAAACAAGAAGAAATTAAAATACTTAACAGATCACTAACACGTCACCAAATTGAATTAGTAATAAAAAGCCTACCAACCAAAAAATGCCTTAAGCCAGATGGATTCACAGCTGAATTCAACCAGACATACAAAGAGGAACTAGTATCAATCCTACTCAAATTATTTCAAAATATCGAGGAAGAGGGACTCCTCTGTAACTCATTTTACAAAGCCATAATCATTCTGACACCAAAGCCTGGCAGAGACAAAGCAAAGAAAGAAAATTTCAGGAGAATATCTCTGATGAACATAGACACAAAAATCCTCAACAAAATATTAGCAAACTGAATCCAGCAGCACATCAAAAAGCTAATTCACCACAATCAATTAGGCATTATACCTGGGATGCAAGGCTAGTTCAACATATGTGAATAAATAAATGTGATTTACCATATAAGCAAAATTAACAACAAAAACTACACAATCATCTCACTAGCTGCAGAAAAGGCCATCAGTAAAATTCAACACCATTTATATTAAAAACGCTCAACAAATTAGGCATTGAAGGAAAATACACCAAAGTAACAAGAGCCATATATGAAAAACCCACTGCCAACATCATACTGAATGGGCAAACGCTGGAAGCATTAACCTTGAGAACTGGAACAAGACAAGAATGCCCACCCCCACCACTCCTTTTCTTTTTTTTTTCATTTTATTTATTCATTATTATTATTATTATCATTATTATTATTATTATACTTTAAGTTTTAGGGTACATGTGCACAACGTGCAGGTTTGTTACATATGTATACATGTGCCATGTTGGTGTGCTGCACCCATTAACTCGTCATTTAGCATTAAGTATATCTCCTAATGCTATCCCTCCCACCTCCCCCTACCCCACAACAGGCCCCGGTGTGTGATGTTCCCCTTCCTGTGTCCATGTGTTCTCATTGTTCAGTTCCCACCTATGAGTAAGAACGTGTGGTGTTTGGTTTTTTGTCCTTGCAATAGTTTGCTGAGAATGATGGTTTCCAGCTTCATCCATGTCCCTACAAAGGACATGAACTCATCATTTTTTATGGCTGCACAGTATTCCATGGTGTGTATGTGCCACATTTTCTTATTTCAGTCTATCATTGTTGGACATTTGGGTTGGTTCAGTACTGGAAGTCGTAGTTGGAATGATCAAGTAAGAGAGAGAAATAAAAGGTTTCCAAATAAGAAGGGAGAAAGTCAAGCTATTTCTCTTCTCAAATAATATGATTCCATATCTAGACAATCGACAGTGCACACGGAGTTCAATTAAATGTATCATAAACTGTGACTACATAGAAATGGAACAATACTGCAAATTTAGAAAATTAAGAAGTGTAAAGATATTGAAAGCATTTCAAATATATTGATTTCTATTTCTTTTGTAGTGAGAAAAAATATTACTTAAATTTGATAAATCAACAGATAGATGTATAAAAACATTTAAAATGTAAAAACAGCCATAAAAATATCCAAGAACATAATATAAAAAGACAAATGTGATTAGTTAAGAAGAAAAAATGTTGGAGGTATGAAAAGTTAGATATATACAAAGTCATTATAACCAAAAGAAAGGAGGAAACGGAAATGGTCTACAGTATATTCAGTATATTGTATAAAGTTAAAATTGTATATACAAGAAAATATATTAAAGTCTGGCTATAAAACTTCTGGTAGATCAGAAATAACATGATAATCTATAACAAGAAAAATAAAGGTCATAGATCAAATAAGAAGTTTTTTTTTAAGTATTTTAAAGAAAAGCAGGATGTAAACTAAGCTAAGGAAGAGTCGAGAAAAGTATACCTGATGAAGCAATAAATGTAAATGTAATAATAAACTGATATATTGATACAAAAGATTTTCTCACAAAGGAAAATCTAATAACATCTTATATTAAAAATATAAAGAATAGTGAATCAGAAAAAATTTTAAAAAGATAATGGGCAAAGCAATACAAGAGTGGTGCAAACAAAATAAAACTCAACAATTGTAGTTTGAGCTATTCCTACCAAGCAATCCATGACAAATCCTAAAACAATAAATGACTATTTGATACTATTATAGTCTTTCAAATCCTTTGCAAAAATACTTATTCAATCTTGGCAACAATCACATGATGTAAGCCGTGTTTTCCATCTTATTTAATTGAAGAAAAAGCTAAGAAACTAAGAACGGGTGACATAATTTGCTCGAAATTATATGACTGGTACATGCTGTGGTCATTAAAGTTTACTGTCTTTAGAACCATTTTTTACACTTGTGAATTTTACAATGAAATATGTATAGTAATAAAAAGTACTTCTCAGAATTAAAAAATAAACATCACCACCACCAAAAATTCAATAAAAAGCTTACTTACTAATAAAACAAAATGATAAAATGATAGTGAAGTTCAAATACATAAAATACAGACACCAAAAAAAAAACTCAGATAGACAAAACATTGACAGTTGAAGAAGATTATGATCTACAGACCTCATGCCCCAATATTAAATTTAGGGTGTGGCTAATATTCTTATTAATATCAAAAATAAAAGAAGAATGCTTATGATTACCAAATCAAGATAGGAAAACAATTTGAAAAGACATCTCACAAAAGAAAATCTCCAAAATGGGTAATATTGACATAAATCTGTGAAACATTTTAAATTACTAGGGAAATGCAAATTAAAACAAGAAACTACCACTACATATTCACAGAAATGGCTGATATTAACAAACTGAAAATCTCTGGCCATGATATAGAGTAACTGAAACACTCATCCATGGTTGATGTGAATGTGAAACTGTGCACTGCTGGAGAATTGTTTGATAGTTTATTACCAAATTAAACATATAATTACAGTACATTCCAGTAATTTTTCATCAACATGAAAGTTTATGTAATTTTGATGTAGTCATGTAATATAATACTACTTAATCCAAAAAGGAATAAACTATAGATACACACAACCATGTGGATTGGTGATTATATATACATAACATTATGTGGAATATAAGTAGCCAGAAACAAAACAGTGTAAACTGTATAATTTCAATCATATGAAATTCTAGAGGAAACAAATTTAGTTTACGGTGACAATGGTGATCAGTGGTGCTCCTGGCATTGGCAGGATGACAGAGAAGAAACGTAAAGAAACTCTGGTGGTAACTTCAGTGTTCTATATCTTGATTTTGATGGTCGTTATAGGGCTGTACAAATCAGCTAAAACTCATCAAGCTCTATGCCAAAGATGTGCACTTTATTGCGTGAAAATTACACCTAAAGAAAGTTCATATCATCATGTTAATGTACAAGAAGTTCCAGCAAATTTTCATTAAAAATATCCCCAAGCAGAGATTTTCTCCTCCACGCATTATTAAGAAACATTGTAGAACAACAGTAATTAAAACTGTATGTTACTGTGCACATAGGTTGCAGGCAAGAAAGTCGGGGAAAAAAGAGTGACGAGTTTAGAATGATACCTACATACATAATGGAAATGTATTGTTAAGGTAGAATTTCAAAACATTTAGGAGAAAATTGCAAAATATCGTTGTTGAAAAAATGCTTGACAACCTGGTGTGTAAATTTACCAGGTCAATAACGTGGTTCTCACCTTCCTCTGTGTGGTAAAAAAATTTCAGCTGCATCAGACAAACATAAAAATGAAATCGCTAAATTATTAGAACAATCTATCAGCCTTTGGAGGGCTATATTTAGCAAGAGATACATTTACAAACATTCAAATGAAACAGATTGATATACATGACAACATGAAAAGTAAAATTATATGCATAGCAATGACATTACTGGAAAGAAAATAAATTTTAAAAACAAACTGGAAAAAGTTTGCAAGGCATACAACAGGGGGCTAATATTATGATTAAAAAAAGTGGTAGTAACAAATAAAAGACCAACAACTAAATAAAAAGATGGGCAGAACATATTTCATAAGAAATGAAGTGTACATGGCTGTTACATAGAAGGAAATAAGCATTTGCATATATAGTTTGCATGCAATGGGAATAAGACATTGTGAAAAAAATGAAAATCTAATGGTAATGAGGGAGAGAGAGAGAGAGATGGCATGATTTATGTAGGCAAATAATTAGTTGCTGAATGATCCAAAAATGTATCAAAGGGGCATAAAGGGATGAAAAAATAAGAAGAAATCATTATTTGCTAAAATGCTGTTCTCATTGATGGCTATACTCCATCTAATTCCACATTTAAAAATTTAACATATGACTTTATTACCTTCTCTTACTGTTAGAATATAAGCTTTATAAGGGCAAAGATCTTTCTTTTGCTTGCAGATGCGTTTCTAGTATCCATGAGTGTGCCTAACCTTCTATGAATTAAATAACTTTATATTGAATTAAGGAATGCATAAATATAGGGAAATAAGGAGAGAAATTAATCAGACTAATATAATTTATATCAATTAATTTTATTGTGAAAGGTAATTACCAAATCAAAATAAATACTAAGAGAAATTTTGGTGTGTTGAAAGATGATATTAATGACCAAAAAAATAAAAAAATAGAAATAAAGAAATGCTTGGATTGTAGAGGTTTAACAATTGCCTGGTTTTCTTAATGCATACATTAATGTTGGTGCTTGTTTTTCATAAACAGATGTGATCAGACAGTTGCACTGACATTGGGTGGAACATAAAAGTGTGGAAAGCTGGTACAATCAAACTTTACTTGGTTGGTGAGCATGTTGAATTTTGGAGCTCATATGAATAGATCCCTGAGTGAAAATAAATGCTGACTTAGTAATTTAAAACTATCCCTACACTTGAGCTTGATACAAAATTTAGTTGCTGTTTACTGGCTTTGAAAATTTTCTAGGCCTATGAGAGTCTAAGAAATTACAACCATGAAAAATGAACACATAGGAATCGACTTGATAAGGACTTATGATAGATTTTAGAGTTAGTTTAATTGTGGACCTATTCATGATTTAGTAGTGAGATATATATGCTTAGACATAAGATGCCAACTAAAATTATATTTGAAATGTGAAACAAAAAAATATTAATTGGTTAAGGAGATCCATTTTATTATACTGACAATTATATGTCATTTTATCCTTTTTTTTCTTTTTCACACCACCAAATGCATCCTGAATACATTTACATGTGATAAGGGAAAGAATAATGTGAATTGCAATGATATAACCAATTGAATTGTGCTCATATCAAAAGTGAAAAATAATATCCTTAATCGCACATTGAGTCCATTTAATGAGAAAGCTGACAAGTAGACTTTTTTTTTGTTTAAAGTCCTAAAGATTTTACCAGTGTGACATTTGCAATATCTAATAAGTGCTTAACTTAAAAAATAACTGAGGATGAAAAATCTGTCAAAATGGGAGTTTCATTTAAAATGAAAAGAGAGGTACAGACTTTTAATATACAATTTCATGTTATTTGTATGTCAACTAATCAAAGTGATATGATTATCCTTTCATTTACATCATCTCAAAGACTGCTTAATTTTTCGAAGGAAGTCAGTTTGATAGGTTGATAATAGTTTTTGGCATGTGAGGGTTCCGTATGGGTATCATATCATAACAGGGCACTAGTGAAGTAGTCTTCTTAGATCCTGATATCAATATTCACACTTGACATGTACATGTCTCTTGGTGGCTGACACTCTTACCCATCTGTCATGATGGCAAAATGCCCAATCCTTAGTCAGCTGAGGTATTTCTCTGGGGCTTGAATAATGACTTTTCTTGCTTTTTAACTTTTAAAGTGATTTTAATGCTCACAAATTTGACAACTAACCATGTCAAAAATTCAAATACTCTGAAAATAAGTACAAGAAACATAGCACATGCTTTTTATTTTTAAATATCACAAACTGCCAGTGGATGCAATTTAATAGTTGATAGTCTACAGTCTCCTTTTGGTTGAGATTACCCAAAAACGGAGCAGTAATGGCAATGTGATGATGGATCTTGTTTCTATGCACTTTCTCCTAGAGAAATTGAATGCAACAACCAATTTGAGAGACGTTACTTGGCATTCTTTCAACATATCTCTATAGAGGATAAGAATCAACTAAAACACTCTGGCAGAACCCTTCTTGTGACAGTTAAAGATACTGTTGGTTCTAAAATTATGAGAAAAACTCACTCTACACATCTATACGCGTTGTTAGGTTGGTAATTTTGATGTGAAGAGTACAGTGAGGAGAAAACCGAAACAATATAAACTTTGTTACATCCCTGAATATTTAAAATATGCTAAAATTTTAGCTCTATGTGAATGAATATCTTTTTGAATATTTATAGTCATTTTTCTAATATGCTCAAATCAATGTAATTTTTTCTTTAAACTACATTTTTAAATGCAACATGAATTACTTTAGCATATTTGGGCACCATTGTTTACTGCAATGCAATAAGTTATTTTATTCTATAGTATGTCCTTGTTATTTCTTAATGGACAGATTTAGTGTTGTTCTATTCAGTGCTACCCAGCAGTGCCAAAGGAACTTGTAATAATACCACCGTGGCTAGTGGCACCTGAGACCACTGAGAGAAAAGTCAGACCCTCTCTGTTGAAATACATGAACTTGTTCTCCTATTCATCAGGAAGTGGTGGGAGATCATCATTAATTTCAGTTCATATTTTTTTACTTCTACTTTAAGTCACTTCTTGACACATCTTGAGATTATATGAATTATTATTTCAGCAGGTATTTGGTACTGAAGCATGCAATTTCATGCAGGGATAAATCAAGCAGTTGAACCATTAAAATTAATGCAAATCGCCTGTTTCTATTTAAGAAAGAAAAGAGGGGTAATCTTGAGGGAGAATTATACTTACTGTAACAGAATTTTCTATAAACTACACTTAAAATTATGTATTGTCTTAATGAAAAGGAATCATTGTTTTGAAATATCAATTTTCTTTTATATTAATTCATTATAAATCAGCTATAAAAAGATCACTCCAAATTTATAAATTTTATTTTATTTTTCTATCAACATAGGGTTTGCTTTTAACCTGTTTACCACATGGCCAACAGGAACATTTGAAATCTATTTATACTGTTTATATTTTTGATTTAGTGCTTTACGTAACGTAGTCCACACTAACCAGAGATAAGGGCATTAAGAGATTCTTTGAAGCATTACTTACCTCCTCTGAATATCTACTACATGAAGATATAAGCTGTAGTCAGAAAGCCCTTCTCTACATCTCACTTAAATCGTTACTGCCAAATTTTCAGGTTCTATTCTCAACAGGAAATGATGAAAAACTGCTCTGTATTTACCATAAAACAAGTCTTCATTTGTGTTACTGATAAGAATCTTCTCACATTTAAAGAATATAACTTGTGTTTTTTTCCTAAATATGTAAAGTAAACCAATTTATATTTTCTGCATATTTTAAGTTTAATGAATTATTACAGTAAGAATCCTATTAGGCAGGCATAAGCAATTCTAGAATATTCTCACAAACATGTGATTGACTTTTATCAGCATCTGATTATAGAAACTGAAGTCATCAAATCTTTCCTTAGATACCTATTTTTCATATTTGTAATCATTTTGGTTGTGCTTAATCTTTATTAGTCAAGTGAATCAGCTAGTATTATGAAGAGTTTCAAAATGGCTGGCGTCAGAATCGTCTCTGACACTAAAACAACACAAGGAGAATGGCTCATCATAATGAGAACAAAATACACAGCCTCTTCCTAGCATAAGCAGTAGCTGATGTTATTGCTTACTGCTAGCTTTCCATTGCAAAATAATTATCTGGAGCAGATAAGATCACAAGCCAGTTAATATCACAAGCCTGCCCCTGCTGCTAATATGATCTTATCAGTAACAGACTGATCACTTTCTAGGGGGAAGTATCAGCACTTGGGCCTTTTAAAAAAGAAACTGATCCAAAGGTGAGAAGCAGATGCTGTACACTACAATAGTAGAGTGAGCTTGTACATTTTCTTTGTTAAATATTATGCTCACAGAGCTTGCGTTTACCTCATGGGACTATTGCAAAAGGCAGAGGTTCAATTCCATGGTGCTGAAATATATCATCGTGTTTTGGCATAATTGTATTTCTAATGGGCTCTCAGAGAAAGGAATGCATAAGTGCCAATTACAGCATGGTACAAATGAAGCATTATGATGTGCTCTGGAACAATCTGCATAATGGCAACATAGTCATATTATGTTCAGTTATTTCTAGTTCCTGTATTTGAATCTCTGTCAACAAACAATTTTTTCATGGAAGGCCCCAAATGTGATGTGAATTGACTGCTATAAAAATAATAATTTCCTTGTCAATAATGTATATAAATAGGGATCGGAAATATGTATGTGTGTGTGTGTGTATATATAAGTATATATGTAATACACACACTCCTTATATACGTATATAAGGAATATATGTGTATACATATATACTTATATATATGTGTGTATATATATACTTATATATGTGTATATATATGTGTGTATATATATAAGTATATACAATACAATGGTAGTATATACAATACAATACATATATACACATATATACACACACACATATATTCCTTATACATATATATACACACACACATGTTCCTTATACATATATATACACACATATAATTCTTATGTAGATGTATTTTATATATATACTCGTATACTTATATATATATATACACATACATATTTCTGATCCCTATTTATATACATTATTGACAAGGAAATTATTATTTTTATAGCATATATATAAAAGATTATATAAGTATATATTCACACACATATATTCCTTATACAAATACAGATACAGATATTTCTTATACATATATAGATATAAATATAGATATCAAATGGTTAACCACCTCTCTGGCTATAGTATGTGAGCATCATAAGCACTGTTTTACAAATCAAGGGATAACTAAAGGTAACTTATCCCTGTCTAGCTGATATGTAAAAAGTATAAAAAGGTAACACCAACAAAACAGTTTGAAGGCAAAAATCACAAATAATAATTCAAAAACAAATATAAGGAAAAGACACATGCAGTAATCTGAAATACAGATTGTTTCTGATGCTTGAAGAAAAAAACCCATTTCATGCTAATATAAATATTATGCTTTTAGGTGAAAAAACGCACTGCTTATTTTCTTCAAGTCAAAATGCCTTAAAGGAGCAGTATCTTGAATGTGACGTGGCAGACTCAAGGGGATGCTCTTCAACATAAAGCATCAGAAGCCTGAGTAACATTTTCTGATCTTGACTCTACGTGACAAGTCGAAAAGAATTTTTTTCAATTTAGTTTTTACCAAGTCAGATTCTATTTGACAATATGGCAGCACTACACATGGAAAGTAACTTATTACTTTGGGCATCTAGTTTAAATAGAGACAATCCATAATGTGCATGTGAAAAAAAATGGCCACTGTTCTTGAAGCATTGCCCTTGAGCAAGCAACAAGTTTAAATCTGTCAGTGTGGAAGAAATTGTTTTTTCTTAATTGCTTAATTGTTAACCCTAGGAGAAAATGACAATAAAATTCTACTTCAAAATGTTTATGTTTTTGGAATTACAGGTATGTATTAAGGAGTTTTTAATAATTCCAAAAATTGCATATAAAAACAATATTATATATAAAATAACAGTAAAATAAAGGCATGTTTTATTAAGAAAGTACAAATGATATGTATTTTGCCAGAGACAATATTTAGAAGAAAATCGAGTGGCCCTGTGCAGGAGAGGAAGGAAGAGATTAGAAATGAGAGAAGCCACCTTATTTAATGAAGACTATATAATAAAGACTTCCCTGATTCCAAACATTTTGAAAGCCTTAAGGAAATTTTCTAATAGATATAGGAAAAGTAATTACCAGTCCATTAAGTGGCTTAAATGGTCGACCATCTTACTGCTGGATTAGCAAACAAATTTAGAAGTCATCAAAAGCTACAAGATTTTTTTCGTGTTCATGATCATAAAATACCTCTGTTTCTCTAGATTCATTGTGGTTTCATTACATTGTTCTTAATTCATCATATTTTTAATTGCATGCATATATAGATACTATGTTTGCATCTACATAATAGTGGAATATTAATAATGAGAAATTTCAAGGAAAAATGTTGTATAAAGAGATTTTTATAATTTTAGGTACATGTAGAAACCATAAGTGGAACACTGTATTAACTGAATATCATTGAGAAACTTCAAGCAAACATGTTACTGATATAAATTAAAGAATAATTGAAAAGGAAAAGACCTCCTTCCTTTTTTCCCCAAAAGGTAAATGTGTTTTCTTATAGCTTTAACTACTTGCTGTAAAATTAAATGCTTTTAATTTCTGATACAAGGGAGCAGAATACGATGTTAATATTTTCTGTATGTCTTTTGATATTAATAATGCATTGAAAATATCTGCAACATTAAAATTCTTTCTGTGGGCTTTTTGTGAATGCTATTATGTCAAGCCATTAATTGTGCACTTTTCCAAAAGCAGGCAACCTATCCTGCTAGCTCTTGAATCATATTGTGAAAGCATAATTGTATTCTGTGCATTCTTGGTTGACATTAAAATGGTCTGTTAGTTGTGTCTAGCAGAATGTCTTCCTTTCTGAATTATGTATTTAGATAAACTTATCCAACAACTTCAGAGCAACATTGTGTTCCTGTCCTCCCATCTGTATGTAAGAGTAAAAACTAAGAGGTAGGTTTACTAATTGGTTAAAATATCTTCTTCTCCACATGTCTTAAAATATGAATAAAAACATGTATGAAAAGAACATTTCACAAATGACTATTTCATACTTAAAGGCATATTTGGAAATCTTAGATAGTCCAGCAAGGACAACTATGTAACTGTTACTGAACATTGGAGTATATAATAGTGAATTATAGCTGTCCAAATATCACCTATGTCTGACTATTGATCTTTTTATCTGCCTCTAGTTCTCAAGACTTCAATTCTTCTCAATAGCAACATATTTTTCAAATAATTTATCTGCAAAAATTTCCATGAATTTTTAAATTTTATTAGAACCTAATAATTATTACCTCTTTTGAATTTTCTCATAAGGCCTCTATAATATGGCCTTTTCCCTGCTTCAATTTATTCCCTGGAGTTGACTCTATTCATACTTTTATCTCCTTTGCATGTTATATTCATCTACAACTTTTTATTTGTTGTTATTCTGACTGACATTTGTTCCTTTATTCCTTTACTTATTCCACTTGTTCAGAACCTATATATTTCTAAAGGCTCTGTTAAATGTTCTATTACTTTTCTTCTGCTTAAATCACTCAAGTAATGCTTCTTGCATCCTTCACTGTTCATGTCTACAGCTAGCTTCTGTCAGCAAATTGACATTACGTCAATAGCAGTACCTTCCATGGACTTTGCTTCAATATTTTAATATCTAGGTTATTGCTATTAAAAATAGTATGAATTAAAAATACCAAAGGAAAAATAAAAGACAAATTGCAAACAAATATGACAAGCATATTAAATATTATTAATTTAAAAACTTCTACAAATAAGAAAACACCTAACAAGTAAATATTAAAGAATATACATTAGTAATTCACTAGCATATTTAAATTTTCCATCATAAAATACAAAATGCTTCAAGAAGATTGACAAATTAACTTTTCAACAAGCAAATTATCTTCTTTTTTATAATCATAAAGAATGTGTAAAGAAACTGACACTGTGATGTAATGCTGGTTCGAATAGAAATTGGAAAGCAACCTCGCATTGTGAAAAAGCAAGCATTCACATTTCTGTGTTGGCAAGTCCACACTTGTGCCTTTTTCTTAAGGAAATAATGAACACTTTGAAACCTTTATGTATGTAAAGTTTATCAGAGAATCACTTATGATACTAAAAATTAAAGTCGTTTTTAATCATAGGAAAATCGTTAAAATGAATTCAGGAATATCAACTTGTGGGAATATTGGGTGGTAATTCATTAAAGTAATAAATTACTTTTAATCCAGTCATTAATGGAGCCTTTTAAAAACACATATTGCAACTTTATATATCTTCTAAAATATCACTTATTTAATACATCTTCCGAGTACAATGTATGGTCTGCAATATCAGAGAATATGCACCATTTACTGCGAAGATAAAGAACATACAATAGGCACTCAAAGCATTTATGAAATGAATAATAGGTTGGTGTTGCATTTATGAAATGAATAATAGGTAACTGGGTTCATGATCCTTCTTACGTTGTGCATTAAGTGTTAGTGGTCTAAATTTCCAAAGTAGGTAAGCTAGACACTGAAATATTGCAATATTGCACGACTCATTCTAAGATACACAGTTTATACAGAAGCAGACAGGATTTAAAAAAAAAAAAAAAGGCTGGCGTGGTGGCTCACTTGTAATCCCAGCACTTTGGAAGGCCAAGGAGGGTGGATGGCTTGAGTTCGGCAGCTCAAGACCAGTTTGGGCAACATAGAGAAACCCCGGCTTTACCAAAAATACAAAAACTTAGCCCTACGTGATGGCTGAGGTGGGTGGATCGCTTGAGCCTAGGAGGCGGAGGCTGCAGTGAGCCAAGATGGCGACCCTGAACTCCAGCCTGGGTGACATAGTGAGACTCTGTCTCAAAAAAATTAAAAAGAAACAAATACATAAAAAACTATATCTTCCATGCTTCTGTGTCACAGGTCTATATGTTTTACTTACACAATGTTTTCCTTTCTTTGAAGAACAAAGAGATTGGAATTGGTTAGCTTAGGAGAAGGCTCTTGCAGTTTTATAAACCTGGGGTCTAGGAGAAGAAAAAAGTGGGAGGGCTAAGAGTGTGAAAACACTAGGTGATGAGTCAGAGTGCTGAGGAGTGTCTTCAGGGTTCAGGCAGCGAGACCAGGAGTGCAGATATAAATAAGACTATGACTGCCCAAAGACCCCTAAATCCTTGACAGCTCCCCTCAGAGACTGCAATGCACTAGCTATACATCAGGTCTAGTGAGAAAGGGGAGTTTTTCCCCATGAAGTCTGCCACATAAAGCCTTAGTATTGCACCTGGTACAAACTAAAAAAAAATCATAGAAAAGTATTTGGCCAGGAGCTGAACTGCACACTTGGGAAGTCCCCAAGACCACTTCCAAGCTCAATAATTTGTTAGAAGAATTCACAGAACTCAAAAAACCATTATCTCCGTAGTTATGGTTTATTACAGTGAAAAGATACAAATGAAAGTCAGCTAAGGGAAGAGGCAGGATAAGGAGAGACTGGTGTAATGTTTCCAGCTGTATCTCAGTGGGTTTGTATGGACAATGCTTATTTCTTTCTGATGCATGAAGTAACATATGGAGTATTGTCAACCAGCGAATCACACCTAAGTCTGGCACTCAGAGTACTTATTGGGAGTTGGTCACATAGGCATAGACCACTACCCAGAAGGCTGACTTACTCTCCAGCGCCTCCAGAGGCCACATTAATATCACGTAACCTAATCCCCCCATCATAAATCACATTGTTAGCATAAACTATCTGGCATAGCCCCAGGTTCTCAGATAATCAAAGACAATCCTCTCAGGCAAGACATCCCTAGGACTACGAGGTTGCCTTCCAGAAACTGGGAGGAAGGGACCAAAACTTTCTTTGGTTAAGGTTAATTCTTTATTGCATACTGCCTTTGTCTCCTGGAGCATTAATTTCTTCTGTGCCTTGGAATCATTCCCATCAGCATGCTGATATGTCAAATAATATATACAAATATCAAATTAAAAAGCAACAAAAACAATAACAATGAACACTCTCTTTTGACCCAGTGTCTTTCTTCAGCTACCATCTGATTTCTCTGCTATGCCCTTTATGGAAAATATCCAAACTCTCTATCTCAATTCCCCCTTCTCTCCTTGTCTTATCTAACCATTTCAATTGTATTCTAATTTTAACCAACTAATTATAGCAGTAATTCTAGTTGTCTCTCGAAATCTATTCTCTTCTTTTACCATACAAACAGAGCATTCAAATTTTACCTATGCCTGTCTCTGTTCAGTTGGAGATTATATTATTTATCCTCACAAGTAAATGTAGTCATGTAACTATTCTGGGTAATTAGGTATTTAAAAATTGGATGAGTATAATTCCCACACAATTTCCATAAAAGTAGCATGTTTTACACTTTTTCCAATTCTTGCTCTAATTCTTACTAGCTGGAACGTGGATCTGACACAGGAAACTAGACAGCTATTTTAGAACAGAAGTTAGAAGCTTTGTGTTGGGTTTTTCAGAGCAACGAGGTAAACAGAGCCTTGTTAACACATTTCACAGAGATTGTATTATCAGCCCTGATTTTGTTACATAAGAGGGTCTGTTAGTGAGGATTCTTCAGAGAAACAGAGCCAATAAGATAAACATATAGATAGATATAAAAGAAGAGATTTAGTATAGGAATTGGCTCACACAATTATGGAGGACAAGAAGTTCCCCAGTATGTCATCTGAAAGCTGGTGGTATAATTCAATCTGAGTCTGAAACTCTGAGGATTAGTCAATGGCATAACTCACAGTGGAAGGCAGAAGGTCTGACAACAGTGGGGGAAGGCAGGAGGCTACTGATGTAAGTCTGAAGGTCCAGCATCCAATAACTCCAATGTCAACAGGATGGAAAAGATGGATGTCCCAGCTCAAGAAGCAAAAGTGAATTCACCCTTCCTCCCACTTTTTGCTCTTTCTTGGCCTTCAACAGATTGGATAATACCCACCCACATTGGTGAGAGTGGATCTTCTTTACAGTCTACTGAATCAATGCTAATCTCTTCTGGAAACACCTTCACAGACACACCTAGAAATAATGTCTCACCAGCTATTTGGGTTTCCCCTAACCCAGTCAAGCTGACATACTAAATTAACCATGACAATGGGCAATATGCTTCTATCTTGCTTTCAGTTACTAATATTTTAGGGTGATTGTTAAAATAACTGATCTGATCTCGTAGCTAATATATTGTTGACCAAAATTGTAAAAGGCAATGGCAAATTCTGTTCTTATTAAAGTTGTAAACATTATTTGGTAATTTCTATTTTTGAAAATAATTTCTAACTGCATTTTCCCTCAATCTCACTAGCAATTTGTGACAATGGCTCATTTTACCTATCAACTTGGCTAGGCTGCTGTATCCAGTTATTTAACCAATTACTAATCTAGGTGTTGTGATTATATTTTATACATGCAGTTAATATCTGCAATCAGTTGGCTCTAAGTAAAGGAGATTAACTCAATAATGTTATTCTCATGTATTTTGACCATTGAGCTAATCTTTGGATTATCCAACAGTATCCAGAAAACTTTTGAACTGTATATACTCACTGTAACAGAATTCTTGTTTACAGGATTTACACTGGAATGAATACAAAATAAAACACATACTATAAATCCAACAGAAAATTTAGTTTCATAATTCTCATATTTTTATGAATTATATTTTTTGCATAAGTATTATGTTGTTTAAACTGTATTATGAATAAACTTTCATCAACTATAATTCGTCATTTCAAAGAGTCTTTCCTCTTGGCTATACATTGCAATTTTCTCCTTGAGATTAATAATGCCTTCCATATTCTCTATTTATTTTCAGTTATGTATTTTATTTTACCTACCTTGTTCACTTCCAGAGCATTGTGTCTTCCTAAGTATTACCCACCATCACCTATCATTGAAGCTATCATCAGATGACACCACCCACTGCAACTGCTCCTCTTAATTATTTAGAGATTCTCAGATTACTTCCTCTTACATTAGGCACTCACTCTTCAAGACTATACCTCTAATAAGTCTTAATAATTTCCGTGTTTCTATAAGGACTCTTTGCAATAATCATGCCTCCCCCTTTCTTCTACGGTCATATTTTTACAAAACCGCTGCTATTTACACTCATAGGCACATACTAGATTTCATTATTACAAAACATGATGCATTTCTACATTTTCAATATCGAGCCCAACTCTCTTCTTTCCACGTGTCTTATTAATTCCCCAAACCATAAATCTCATTGACCCTAACACCTTTACACTTTATTTCATGTTACAGTTTCCTTACTTATCATTGTAATAATTTTTTATCCTTAACATCCTGGCTCACGTCTCCCTTTATCATAATTAAACGGTAAAAATCTAATTAAGTCCATTCTTTGTCCACTTCACGACCTCATCTGAGCAGTTGAATGTAGCTGGTAGAGAAAATTATATAACATTACTGTTCTGATGAATCTCACTTTAAATTTATGGCTTCTCATTTGAAATCAGTTCTTAATACTTCTCTATAATTCTACAGTGTTATTTTACCCACTTTACTACTATTCTAAAAGATACTTTTGGTACCTTTGATTATTTCATTTAACCTCAAAGACTTCTTTCTTCTTTCTCAACCTAAGCTAATGAACATACTTCCCAATTCACTGAGAATAAAAACAATCAGAAGAGAACTTCCACAAACGTCCCCCACAATCACAACTACTGCCACATTTGTCAGTGTGCCTGCACTGTGTCCCTATTATCTAAATTGTATTCAGATATTTCAGATGAATATTGCAAACTATTATATATGGTCACCTATTCAAGAATTATAAGTAGTTTTTCTCATTCTCTCCTGCATCATGAATACCTTCTCCTTACTGGATTATTTCTATCTGCATACAAACATATTGGATTAACTCCCATCTTTAAAACAAAATAGAGCAAAACAAAATCAAACTTTCTCTTCACCGTTATATCTTCCTACTGCTAATACCTATGCCACTGCTCCTGCTTACAGAATATTTTTTTTTCAATGAGTTCTTCTTGGCTTTTGCTTCCAATTATTCTCTTTGTATTCTCTCCTGAATAAATTTCAATCATACCTGAATCAATTTCAATCATTCTCACCATTCTAATACTATATATTATGACACAGCCACTAATAACTTTCACATTAATAAGTAAAATGGTCAACTATTCTGCTTTATTTATTTTCCCTACTTCAATGTTTGCATACTTATTCAGTCTCTCTTCCTTAAGATAATGTTGTAAGAATCTTATAATGCCATTATTTCTTGGATACATTCTTTACTTATTGTTAATACCTTCTAAGAATTATTGGCTGACTCTTTCTTGACTTTCTACATTCTAAATATTGCAATATTCCAAGGCCCAATCTGAAAGATTTTCTCTTTTCTACGTATTGTCATTAGAAGAGTAACACACCCAGGCTATGGAGTTAAAATGCAGTTCATACATTGATTACCTCCTGATTTATATTTCTAGCTTGGCCCTTAGCTGTGGACTCAAAATTCAAATTGGTCCACTCGTGTATTTGAAATTGAGCTTTGATTTTATTTTTTCCAAATTTGCTTCTTTTCATTATAGTAAACGGAAATTTTATCTTCAATGTAGAAGACTGAGCAGTAGCCCAGGTTCACATATAATCTATATAAGCTTATTTGCTACATCTGACTTCATCCAGCATTCTTATGTCTTATAGATATCACTCAAAGCACACTGACCTACTTCCTTTTCTTGATCACATCTTGGTAACTTGCATTGGCTGTATTCTGTTTAAAACGTTCTTCAGGTTTCCACATGGCTTTGCCTCACATTTTCCTCAATTATCTGTTCAAGTGCTACTTTTTAGTGAAAAAAAATGTATATGTTACATAAAACAGCAACCCCCAAAATGTCACTACATACAAATTCTCATTCATCATAGCACTTATCATCATTTTGTACGTTATTTGTTTGCTTACTTACGTATTCTCTAGCTCCTTTGAGTAAGATACAAATCCTATTTGAAAAATATACATTCTTTTCCATGTCTAGAGGACTATCAGACACATAATAGGTACTCAATAAATTATTGGATGAATGAGTCTTTTGAATTTTCTTGTTACTTTTTTTTCTATTTCCCATGCACCATTATTACCTACTTGCTGTTTTTCCAAAATATGTTCCAGTCCTCACCCTTTCTCATCTCCACTGCTACAATGTTGGTCCAAGACACCATCCATGCCTCCATTGATAATTATATCAACCATCTGATTGTTCTCCCTGCATTCTCTTTTCTAGTCACATGGAATTAATCTGATAAAAAGTGTAAGTAATCTTCCCAAGGAGTAAAAATTATCACACCATTTAACTGCAAACACTCTTGAGCTAGCTTTCCATTGTAAATCAAAGAGCATCCACACTTTCTACCAAGGTCTACAAGGCCTGCAAGATATATCTTCATATGATATCAGAGGTCTAACTCTCTGATTCCATCTCTTATGACTCATTGGTTCTTTTGCTATACTTCAGTCAAACTTGTTTTCTGTTTTTTCCTTGAACACACTAAGCTTATTTTTGACTCAGATTTTTTTTATATTTTTGAGTTCTTGGAAAGTGTTTCTGTTAACACATTTTCATGTTGCCTTCTTCTAATCATTCAAATCTTAACTCTAACATAATCTTCTCAAAGAGTCTCTGAGCACATAAGTGATGTAAACTATTTTTTCTTATAATTAAGATTATCTAAATTATGTCCTTATTTGTTAATAGAATTATAATCATTTTCTTCTACTAGCATGAAAATCTTTGAAGGCAGGGACTTTTATATCTTGTTTAGTTCCTGAGTCTCCAACACCTATGATATTTAAATTCCATAATATTTATTTAATGAATTTGTATTGAGAAAAATAATGGTTTGTTGTTGACATTGTAGTTAAACCATGGTCACTTTCAACAATGATAAGTGATGAGGCATTATAAAATATAAAAATATAATGAAAAATACTGAGTAATAGTCAGTAGATTAATGGATGAGATGAGAGAGCCCAAAAACATGTATATGCATAGGAGAATATGTCAAATTACAAATCTGGCATTTTAACACGATGAAATGAGTATGTACTATCTTTTAAATGTTGTTGGGACAATTCATTATACCATAGAAAAGTAGAATTCTCAGAGTCATATCTTACCTCACCTCAATAAATAATATGTGAGGATTTTAAATAGTAAAAAACAAAACACTCTAATATATTACAAGATGAAGAAATTATTTATAATCTTAAAGTGTAGAATGTCTCTTCAAGAAAGATTAAAAACTTAGAATTCATGAGGAAAAATGTTTTTTATGACTATTGTATTAGCATGGGTTCTCCAGAGAAAGAAAACCAATATGATATAGTTATAGATATAGAATAGACAATATAAATATAAATATAAGAGAGACTTACCAGAAGAAATTATGTAACCTGAGAAGACCCAAGATCTGCATTTGTCAAGCTGACACCAGGGGAGCTGATAGAATTATAGCTCAGGTCCAAGGACCTGACATCCAGGAGAACGAATGGTGCAATTTCCAGTCTGAGGCTGGGTCCTAAAGCAGGAGAAGACTGATATCTTAGCTCAAAGACAGTTATATATTGGGAGATAATTCTTTCTCACACAGATTTTTATTCTATTTAGGTTTTTAATGGATTGGATGAGGCCCACCCACATTGGAAAGAGCAATCTACTTTACACAGTCCACTGATTCAAATTTTAATCTCATTCAGGAATATCCTCAAAAACATACCCAGAATTACTATAAACTAAAATCTGTGCACCTCATGGCCCAGTCAAATTGACATATAAAATTAATTATCTCAAGTCCACCTTTTGTGGACCTGGCACCCATACACATCTCCTCAAGCCATATTTAACCTCCAAATAAAGAAAATAGCAAGGCCATAATTTGTCCTAACAAAATACAACTATTCTGAGAACAATTAGAAAAGCATTAATCTCTTTCTCAAGAGAAGTAAAGTGTTTGAGTGATGTGTACTGTTCTCTATCTTAAATGCTGTAATATAAAATTAATAATACTTAAGTATAATGATATAAAATCATCAAATCAATACAGCTTATATTAAGTGATAAAGGGATAAGAGAGGTAAGAAAAAAATAGATTATCCATATGACTATACACACAAACATATTCATAACAAAATAAGGAGGAATATTTATGACAATTATAGTCTATGTTTCTGTAACTGGTTACATGGTCGTAACTGGAATCTACAACTACCTTCTTCGTCTACCCATTCTCTATTACCTTTTACCTTTGAAAGCATCTCAGGTTTTCATGGTTCTTTACCTGATGGAGTGACCCAAATCTTTACAATTGAAGGGTCTGGGCCATTAGTGGTCCTGCCTGGAATGGGTGGTTGTAATTTTTTATTGATATTAATCACAGGGTATAGCAATACTAAGATATAACTTAAGGAATCTCCTTATTCCAGACATGCTCTTCTTCCATTAGGGAGTAGCAGTCCAATTTCTTTTTGGTAGTAAGAATCAATTACCCTGGCTGACACCAAAACTTCCTACTTTGCTTGTTGATTCAGAGTCATGAGGAGTTTAAAGTGGCTAGGTGGCAGTCTTAATTTTCAGGTTAGTGTGATCATTGTTATGTCTCATGGTGGAAACATGTTTCTCTTTGGAACAAATACCTCTAGGCCAGCAGTGTATAAGGTTGTGGGAACAGGAAAAAAAAATTAGCTAGTGGGTCAATAGGAGTAATAGTGAGTGGTGCTAGTCTCATTTTCACCCCTTGATCCCTGTACCCATGAATCTTGGCTGTTGGAGAAATAACATCATATATTAGATGCTAATTGAGAGTGTATACAACCTCCTGCAGAATGTTATTTGAGCCCTGAAACGTATTTTCATCTATCTGGTGCTGTAACTGAGTCCTCAAAAGGATGCCACCGTTTTACCAAACTAGTTGTTTCAGGATGGTGGGGAACATGGTAATATCTGAGAATTTCATGAACATTGACTGACCCATAGCCCTATTAAATTCGCTGTAAAGCATGTTCCTTGATGAGAAATAGTGCTGGGTGAAATACCATGATGTTGGGTAAAGCATCCCACAAGTACACAAACTGTAGTTTTTGGCAGAAGCATTGTATGAAACTAAGGCTAATTCATATTCAAAGTAAGTGTCCATTTCAGTAAGAAAAAATATTGCTTTACTTTGTAGTTTGAAAACAGTCCAATGTAATCAACCTGCTTCCAGGTAGCTGGCTAATCCCTCTAAAAAATGGTGCCATATTGAGGACTCAGTGTTAGTCTCTACTGCTGGCAGATTGAGGAAACCTAAGCAGTGATCATAACCAGGCCAGTCTCCGTGAGTGGAAGTCCATGATGCTGAGCTCATGCATAACTTCCATCACTGCCACCATAACCGCTTTTTTCATGAACCCATTAGGTTATGACAAGGGTGGCTAGAGAAAGAGCCTGATTGGTATCCATAGACTGGGTCATCCTATCCAATTCATTATTAAAATCTTCTGCTAAGGTCTTCCTTTTTGAGTATTCATGTAAGACACAAAAATCTTCATGTCTATTGTCCATTAAGAGAGGTCTATCCACATACTTATTTCCCAAATTTCCTTGTCATCAATTTTCCAATTATATTCCTTCCAAATGTCTGACTGTTCAGTCAAGCAACAGGCCAAATCCCATGAATTAGTACATAATCCCACATCTGGCCATTTTTCCTTCTAATCAAAGTATACAACCAGGTACACTGCTCAGAAATCCACTAGGAGGATTTCCCTTCACCAACGTCCTTTAAGAATGCCCCTGAAAGGGGATATAGCTGTCCGCTTTTGAACAGTTTCTGCGTATCATACATAATGATCTGGAAACAAGGCCACAGTCTTCTGTTCCTCTGCCAATTGATTATAAGCAACTCTCTGTGATGCTATAGGTAGGATGCGAGAGAAACAACAGTGTAGCAGGAGACAAGAGCAAGGACATTTGGGCCACTTCTTCATGCAACTGACTTCAGGTCTGCTTAAGCCCAGCCATATATATACTACACCTATTTGAAGTAGTACTACTATGCATGCCCAATTTTATGGCTTGGTGAATCTGATAATACTCATTTCAAAATGTGTAGCTCAGGTCACATGGTAACGTGATGGTTCATAGTTAAGTGTTCAGTATCTACTGAGGCCCAGGAGCAGGCCAAAAGCTGTTTCCAAAAAAGAAGAAAAGTTTTTTTTTGGATGGGTGATAGGACACTTTGCTCCAATATCCTAAGGATTGCACTGTGATTCTCCTATAAAGAACTGCCAGTCACTCCAAACAGCATCCCTATGTGCCATTGATACTTTATCTGTCACTGAATCTGCTGGATCATATGGTCCAAGCAGCAGAGCAGCTTGCACAGCAACCTGTATGAGTTGGAAATCCTTCTCTTATTCTGGAATCCACTTAAAACTGGCAGCTTATTGGGCCACTCAGTAAATAAGCCAAAGTAATACACCCAAATGAAAAACATTTTTTTTCTCCAAAATCTAGGGACACACTAAGCATCATGCCTTTTTTTTGGTTGTGTGGGGCCAGACACAACAACTTATCCTTCACCTTAGAAGAGATATCTTGACATGCTGCATACCACTGAAGCCCGAGAAATTTCACTGAGGTAGAAGGGCCATAGTTTTTTGTTAGATTTATTTCTCACCCTCTGACATGTGTAGATCTCATCAATCTGTCTACAGTAGTTGCTACCTCTTGTTCACTACATCAAATCAACATAATTTCATCAATGTGATGGACCAGTATAATATCTTGTTGAAGGGAAATTAAATCAAGTTCTGTGTAAACTACATTATTATATAGGGCCAGAGAGTTTATATATCCCTGAGGTGGGACAGTGAAGTTATATAGCTGGCCTTGTCAGCTGAAAGAAAACTGCTTATGGTGGTCTTTACTAAAAGGTATAAAGAAAAAAGAAAACATTTGCCAGCTTAATAGCTGTATACCAGGGACCAAGGGATGTGTTAATTTTAAGCAATGAAACCACATACAGCAGCTGCAATTGGAGTCACCACCTGGCTAAGCTTATGATAGTACACTGTCATTCTCCATGGTCCCTCTGTCTTCCACACACACCAGGTAGGCAACTTGAATGAGTATGTAGTGGGAAATCCACCCTTATGTCTTCTGAGTTTTGATGGTAGCACTAATCTCCTCAATTCCTCCATAATTGCTATACTGCTTTTGCTTTACTATTTTCCAAAGTAGAGGTAGTTTTATTGGCTTACACTCTCCCTTTTTCACCATACTATCCGTTACTCTACAAGTCAGAAAACCATTGTAGAGATTCTACCAGTAGCTGCATATATCTATTTCAATTACGCATTCTAGAACTTAGGAAACAGCCACAAAATAGGTTCTGGGGCTCACTGGGCTCACTGAGAAATGGACATGAGCCAAAAATTCATAAATCATATGACCTTCACAGGTCCCTGCTTTGATTTGTAGACTAAAGTAACATTTTGGGTCCCCTGGAATTAGTATCAGTTTAGAGCCAGTGTCTAGTAGTCTCTGAAAGTTGTATTATTTCCCTTTTCCCAATGTACAGTTAACCTGGTAAAAAGCCATTGATATCTTTGGAGGAAGGCTTTCAGAAAGATTAACAGTATAAATTTTTGATAATGTACTAGGTCCTTCCATGTGGAGACCTGGCCTTGCCTTAATTCAATGAGTTTTGGTTAAGTAAACTGTTTCAAGTCTGAAAATTGATTGAGGAGCCATGAATCTCTGGTTGATTCAGGTTAGACTTTTGTTCACTCGACCTAGAAATTTTCAGTTTATATAGATTGACATAATTTGGCTCTGTATACCCACCCAAATCTCATCTTGAATTGTAATCCCCATGTGTTGGGTGAGGGGCCAGGTGGGAGTTGATTGAATCAAGGGGACGTCCCCCTTGCTGTTCTCTTGATAGTGAGTGAGTTTCCATGAGATCTGGCTGTTTGAAAGTGTGTGGCACTTCCCCCTTTGCTCTGCCTGCAGAACTGTGAGTCAATTAAACCTCATGTCTTCATAAATTACCCAGTCTCAAGTAGTCTTTACAGTAGTATGAAAACAGACTAATAAACAGATCAAGTAAAAGCTTAGTAAACTTTCATTTCTTATCTACTTCACCATGATCAACTAGCCAACACCATATGTTTGCAGGAGTCAGGCTGTTCTGATTGCTGCTGTGACTCTGCTTTCCATCATGTTGTCAATACCCACCTTGCATTTGGCAGTTGAGGTCTGCCACTGGGCCCCTCTGACTTAATGATTCAACTACTTATATTGCATTTAGGTTTCCCAGTTCAGTGACTGTAGTTCCCACTGTAAGGTCTGAGTTACAGAGAAGAGCAACCACAAAGCTCCTGAAGGATGCTAGGTTTTCTTCCCGCAAAAATTTATTTCTTGCAGTAGTGGTGAGAGATTTGTCTTTTGGATAGCCTACCCTATCACCACTACAATGTGGGTGAATATGTCTTAAGTGACAAACCGCTCTAACATTCCAGTCTTTCTAAACCTTTGAATCCCTTCCTCTACATTAAATATGATAGGTTTAGCATGTCTAATGTACAAATGGTGGGCCACCTTTTGGTCTATGTTTCATCCACCCAAATAAACTGATGGTGATGGCAGCTGTGGCCTGTCTGGACTGGCTACTGTGAAGATACTGGATGCAGGAGGGGAAGGCGTGGCCAGTGCTGTGCACTCCATGGAGTTGGCAGGAGCCAGACACAGGTGGGAGCCCTGCCCCCTTCCAAGTTGGCAGGGCCCTATAACCCCGGGTACACCTGCAGTCAACAAGCTATGGCTATGGACCTAGGCATCCCTGAGCATTTGGGGGCTGGGAAGCCCACCATTCCCCACAGGGGGGTGCTGCTCCCACTGCCTGAACTCTCCCTGCTCCTGGTGTCCACTCTGGGGTGGAGGAAAATTGTGGACATGAACGGGTGCTGATATGATCCAGCCAGTTGTGCACACACTCAGGGTAGCACTGCCAGCCCTGTGCTGCCTCGCCCAGTTCCCCCAGGGTTTGGGCACTGACAAGCTCAGGGAGGGAGTCCAAGGTGGAACTCAGGGTAGCTTGGCGCAGGCCTGTAGGCACCACTTTGCATGAACACCCTGGGCTCTGTGGATGACATGATTGATGGTGGCAGGAGGCAGACAGGCTCCAGGGCAGTGATGTGGTTTGGCTCTCTCCACTGAAATCTCATCTTGAATTGTAGCTCCCACAATTCCCACCTGTCACGGGAGGGGCCCAATGGGAGGTAATTGGATCATGGGGGTGGGTCTTTCCTGTGTTGTTCTCATGATAGTGAGTGAGTCTCATGGAGATCTGATGATTTTATAAGAAGGAATTCCCCTGCACAAGTCCTCTCTCTTGCCCACTGCCATGTAAGAAGTCCCTTTGCTCTTCCTTTGTCTTCTGCCATGATTGTGAGCCTTCCCAAGCTATCTGGAACTGTGAGTCCATTAAACTTCTTTTTCTTTATAGGTCACCCAGTCTCAGGCATGTCTTTGTCAGCAGCCCAAAAATGGACTAATACAGGCAGAAATGGGCAGGTCCCTGGTTAAGCTCCACCTTCACACCAGGGATGGCCTGAAGCATCAGGACTGAGCTGTCACTTCCAGGTGGAATCTGTGGACTGGAGTGAGAACTTATGGTTATTTTTCCAGCCTCAACCATGGCCACACATTGAACAATCAGCACACATTTCTTCCCTTCTGAGCCCATAAAAACCCTGGACTCAATCAGACTCCAACACTCTTGGGATGACCTCCCTGTGGAAAGGAGCTACTCATGGTGGGTCTCCTCTCCACTTAGAGCTGGACACTTGTCAGGATAACCTGCCCGCAGAAAGGAGCTACCCAGTTCAGTTCTCCTGAGAGCTGTTCTGTCACTCAATGAAGCTCCTTTCCATCTTGCTCAACCTCCAGTTGTCAGAGTACCTCATTCTTCCTAGATGTGGGACAAGAATTCAGGTCCATCGGAATGGTGGGACTGAAAGAGCTGTAACAAAAACGGGGCTGAAACATGCCCCTCCCACTTGCCACATTGAGGGCAATGAGAAGGAGAGAAGAGCTGTGAGCCTTTGGGGAGCTCAGACCTAGGGGCTTCCCAAGCCAGGGCTCTGACACCTTCTTTGGTGTCTGTGGTTCCTGGTGTCTCCAAGCTCCTGGGCACCATAGCATTGCTGTCATCCAGGCACAAATGTCTGCAGCAGAAGCCACATGTGGTACATCTGGTCTAGCTGCAGCCTCACATGGAGCCAGCACCTGTGCCAGTGCCTGGAGCTGCCTGCCCCACTGCAGCAACTGGCATGCCCAGCTGTGCACAATGACTGGACCCTGTGCTCACTTGCCCACACATGCCTTGCCACTCTGCACCTGGCTCACCCTTGGCAGGTGTGGGATCCAGGTCAGTAGCGTGAGCAGAGCACAGTCTCCCTGGCTGAGTGGGCTGAACAAGCCCAGTAGGCCTGAGCAATATGCATTCAGGAGGCACCACTGGCCACAGAGGTTTCCAGCTGGCAAAGTGACACCCCAAAGATCCCATGACAATGGGGCTCTTTCTAACTCCCTGTGCTACAACATTAATTGCAGAATCTCTGTTTATTGAGATTTAATGAGCAGCATCTCAGTTTATTGACCACTTACCGATAACTTCAGCCTGATCTAACTTAACGTTTCTTCCACCATTATCCCACACATTAATAATAACCATTTCCACACAAGTTCTTCAGATTTCCATCAGTTCAAGTTAGAAAACTCAAGTAGTTCTTTTAGAGTTTAGTGCACATCCTCATGGGTCACAGTTTGTGCTGTACCTTTAGGGGCCTGGTGGGACTTGCATCTACTTATAGGTTTAGAAGCAAAGAAGGGTGGTAGGATTGCTTCCAAGGAGAATCAGCACTGTCTTGCATAGCAACTTACTTAGTGGGGGTCATTACAGTCTCCAGAGGCAATGCAGAGCTAATCTCAGAGGGAAGTGGAGAGGCCACCACTACTAGGGTGGAGAGACATCTTCTACTGGCAAAAATGGTTCATCGTAATTTAGATAATCAATGCCTCCAGCTTCCCCATTTCAACTTACAAGATACCACTCTTTCCCAACCAATTGCCCTCACTGTAAGAACAGGTACCCTTCTAAGCTGAAAGTTCAACTTGTAAATCAACCAGTTTCGGTTAGATTTTGCATTTGCTCTTCAGTAGTCCCAGCCTTGTGGCTACAGGAGATAAGGGTCTCCATCAGGGCATAAATAAGAGCAATCAGTCCTTTACGGGGCACTTGACCTAGGAATTTGAATCTCTGTGTTTATTGCATTTTTATCACTTTTTCAGTGACATTACAAGTAACCGGCCAAGTATCATACGCACAGTAACCCAGCTCCTTTCTTCTTCTAAGTGCCTAATTAGGAATACTCAAAGAAAATATTTGCAAATCTTTATTGCCAGATCACCCTATAGACTATCAGTGCTCTCTTTAACACTGAAAATAGAGTCACTAGCATCTTCAAATCCAATCAGTTTGGAGGGAGAATTCCAGAAATCTTACAATTAAGACTCATCCTTAAATTTATCTTCCTCTAGAACCATTCTCAGTACCTAAATCTATATTAGCCTGGGTTCTTCAAAAAAAGGGGTGTGTGTGTGTGTGTGTGTGTGTGTGTGTGCACTTTGAGAATATATTTATTTTACTATTGTTTATATCAGCTCAGAATTTTATTGTTGGATTTTCACAACTTCAAGTTTGACAGTGATTGCTTATTCTTTAACATGAGTTCCTAAATGTTAAAGAGAAATGTTAAGTTTCTAAATGTTAAAGAGAAACCCATTGTTCTTAATATTCAAAAGGCTTCTCAGTAAGTTATTACTTACACATCTCTGATACCAAATCTGTATTTTGTCAGTTATGGATGAAATTGGTTTCTGGGTTGATTTTCTTTATAGAGCTCTCCACCAATCTCACCATCACAAAACTGTTGCACTATTATGGACTCTATATTTAAATATTTAACTGAAGGTTTCTGGCAATGGTGGCTAAGGAGACAGTACATTAAACAATTAAGCATAAATTGATTTAATGTAAATTAAACCTATGACAGTTTCACTGCTTCTTTTTTTTACCTTATTGTAACTACTGAATTTATTGGTAAGGGTCATTATAATAATTTAACACTCATTGTTTGACATGGATGTAACTTGTCCTCAGCAATTTTAAATTAAGCTTGCAATTCAACACCTTAATTTATCTCACTATTTAGCCAAGTAATTTCTGTATTAAGTGTCCAGTCAGGGAGAACTATATCATTAGCAATCTCTAGGGTACTGATAGAATGTTTCCTCAATTCTGAATCAATCTTTCTCTCACACTGATTGTTTGGAAGCCAAGTCATTGTTAGAATATAACTCCTATGTGCTTCATAGCACCTACAGCTTCTTTGATCCACCCTGGGCATGGTTAATGGAGTCAGCAATATCATAATTAATGGAGTCTGTTGAAGTATTCACAGCTGGAAAGTATATTTAGAGGATATTTAGAATAAGTATAGTAATTAATTATTCTTATTTTATGCATGTTTTGTTTTCTAGTGTATTCAGTTCTTTGATACAGACTTACTCCATTTGAAGTTGAAAGTATTTATCTTATAAATAGCTGTATATATAGTTCTGCTTTAAATTAGTTTTTAATTTGTAGATGTTTCTCAGTATTTTTGGAGATGCATAAGATTTTCAGCCCTTCTTTGCATCATTATTTTTATGAATTCAGAAAGTTGAAAGAGGTGATGATTAGTACAGCTCCAGATTAATTTTGAACAGTCAAATCTCCAAACTAGAAAAAGAATCACAATACAAAAATGTAATAGCACATTATAGTGCAGAAAGCTAATTTCCTGTTGCTGTTACAGATTCACTCACTAAAAATGTCAGGACAATCTTATTTCATAATTTTAACACAATAGTGGAGAGCTGTTGTAATAGAGCAAGTATTTATGATAATTAGGTTTTGCTGAATAATGTGGTTCTTCAAAGATGATAGTTGTGGATATTGATTTTCCAAATGGACTGAGCCATTGATTGAACGCAATTTGAAGAGGAACAAAATTAGTCTCTTGAATTTACCTGGGGCTGCTACCGGTGGAATACATTATCTGAGGAATCCTATAGCTATGTTTAATAGGTCAAGGACTCCCCCTGCCTGTTGGTTCATTTGTGGAATCACTTCTAAGTTAATAATGTTTATGTCTAAAACCACAGGTGACTCCAAGGATATTGCTTAGTAATTGATATTTTTTCTTTGCTAAGATAAACAGATTCTGGAGTTAAATTAAGAATACTAAGCTTTTTGATTCATACAGCAAATGAGAAAGTAGGATGTTGATGACCCTTTGCAAATACAAGCTATTATTGGGAGATAAGATAGAAATTTTTCAATAGAGACAGCTGCCATAACAGTGATACAAATAGTTTTCAGGGTGAAGACAACTGAAATCACCTTCATATGAAATGGGACAGATTATTCCTTAATTCTTATTAAGCAAAGAAGCCTTCATCCATTGAGACTGGTGTAAATGCAGTCAAGTAAATAAACTACATTTCTTAGATTCTAAAGCATTTATTTTTTATATTAAATATTCATATTTTAGTCTTTTTGAAATTATAGCAGCACAACATATATTGTGCCTATTTTATATAGAATGTTGAATTTAGTATTATGAAAATGATGTACTTTACAATAAATAAAAAAAATCTAGCTTCTATGGAAATATTCATTAAATATTTGCATTAACTTTTTACATTATGAACTGTTTATAGGATACAGATAAGGCCAGAAAATAACATAACATCAAGTACAGTATTTTTTTAATTGCATCTAACATAAACAGCAACAAAAACCGAAGACAGTGTTGAATACTTCTGTCTAATGTGTCTCTCTGACACATTTCAAGTTTCTTTTTTCCATCTGTTAAAAGTAACCAAGCCTCCAGCCTGACAGATATCATTCTTGTGCATGCTCTTATACAATTATTTTATTTGTGTAAAAGTAGAATTGTTAACTATACACAGAGTATATGCACTTTGAATACTGCATTGAACTCATTCTAATATACTCTTCTACGTTTAATATTTGCAAAATTAGATTCAATGGCTTCTTAAAATAGCAAGTGGCAACATGATGTTTTATTTTATTGTAATAAGTAATATGAATATGTTATTTTGTAAGGTATATTCATAATGTATGAAATTTATCCATAATGTTGAATATACTTTATTATTTTATTTTTATTGGTTTTTATTGATCCTTATAAGAAAATTCCTCTCAGTTTATGTCATTCATTTTAGGTAATTTGTCTTTTTTTTTCTGGTAGATGTTACATTTTATTTTGCTTTATAATTCATATGCTGAAGTTTCATTTTATGTACACATATATATATATACACATATGATAGGTGTGTGTATATGCACATACACTCACAAACATGTATACATTTATATACACACACATATATATACACATCTATAAACACACACACGGCATATATTATGACATCTAAGGTCATACTTTTTCACTTTGAATAATTCAAATAATATTGAAAATATGATCAAGTGTTAAATATTAATTATCAAGTATTATTGTTTTCCAATTCCTTTATTTTAGTATTTTGCAGCTGCTACATGCTTAATCAAGTAATTTTTAGCATCTCTTTTACTTATTTAATAATTATTTCAAAGTGAAGTGTTCTTGGATATATGTTCCATTTCAAAAATTCTTTCTTTTACTATATCCTTTACAGGATTTGTGCTCTTAATTGGGTTTTATTTTTATTCCAATAGATGTTAAAGTTATTTAGAGCATTTATAATTGAATATATTTTCCCACAATTCAGTTATGCCAGATCTTTTCTCTTTCACAGTTCCTGATATGTAATTACACTCGTTTTGGTTATTTCATCTTTAATTAATTCTATCCTAATTATACATTTGTACTGTTATTTTGGTGGCTACACTAAAGATTATATGCACTGTTGACACACTATAGTAATATAAATATTTACTTTGCTGTATCCCTGAAAATACTAGAATCTTAAAAGACATATTATTGTTCTTATGGCTTTTAATTCTTCATATATTTAATGTCCTTAAGAAGTTATTTTTAATTTTTCACAGCCAATATAATGGGCTATTTATTTACCCTTTTGATTGATTTTTGTTCCTTCCTGGATTTCTATATTTCTTTGTGTTATCATTTTATTTCTGTCTGAAGAATGTCACCTAGATTTTTCTATAAAAACGTTCAGTGCAAGCATGCCGTAATAGATTCTCTGAATATTTATTTTATGAATTTTGTATATCGTATTTTCTCTGGAATGTAATTTTACATTAGCAGTGATTTTCTTCCAGCACTTTGGCAGTCAATTGTCTTCTGGCTTCTGTTTGTGTGAAGTTGACTATCAGGTTTTTTGGGTGCTTTCTGAAAAAAACAAGTTTTTCCCTCTGTTTTCTTTTAATATTTTCTCTTTATATCTGAAGAGAAATTTTCATATTTCATATTCAGTTTGCATCTTTTGACTATAATAAGCTTTTGTGCTTTCTTATGTATATTTTCATGTTTGGGATTTACAGGGCTTCTTCAGTCTGACGATTGATGGCTTACAACAATTTTGGGAAATCCTCAGCTAATAACACACATAGTATCATTTTTTCCTGTTTATCCCTGTCCTCTGTCTCTGGAACTCCAGTTGCTAGTAAGTAAGAAATTTTCCTTGAGTTCTTCCAAGGAGAACAGTTACATCCTCTTTCCCTGGCAACTTTACATGACCCACAGGAGACAGAGAGAGGAGCACAGTCTGACCCAACTCTTGGCAAAATATCATGTGAGCCTTCCTGGAACACAGAAAGATAAGCAGTCTTGTGAGGAACTATCAGAAGGTCATTTTTCAAGTGCCTTACTAATTTTCACACAATAGTTAACCATCTACAATCATGGGTCCGGTGAGCCATGGTATTTTACACTTTGCATGCATTTAGATATAGGTGGAGACTATAAAATCACTCACCCACAACTTACAATTTGCTCTGTCTTGCAGAGCAACCCATTGCTTATGTTATTTTTCATCTGCCTCTTTCACTTCAGAGTTATTCTGCGGAACAAGGGACATGAGAAGCTGACAATATATTGATCTTGCTTATGCTATCTGTGTTAGTAATAAATTATCTAAATCTATATGGGCTTATTATTTGTTTAGAAGCTGAATCTTCGGAAGAGTGACAAATTAACATAGCAGCTTCATACTCACTGCTTCTCAGGAATTGCTTTACTGCTTAGCATTCCATAGGCCTCTTATGCTCTGTTCTACATTTTTAAAAAACGACTTTTTCTCTTTAGCTTTAGTTTGTCTTGCCTGTTTTCTTGTGCTGTATGGAATCTACTGTTAAGCTATTTTATCAAATTATTAATTTTAGATAGCATATTTTATTTCTAGAATATATTTGACTTTTTAAATCTAATTGATGTTATCCATCTCTTTAGCTATTATGTAGATCTTTTCCTCTATTTTACTGAATATATTCACTATACTCTCAATTACTTGCATTATAAGTTTAATATATGGATCACCTGTGATCTGATTCTACTGTCAATTTTTCTCTAAATGTTCAGTTATATTTTCTTTCTCTTGTGATATCTAGTAATAACAATTGCAGTATCAGATATATGCATAAAAATGTAAATGATGCCTATAATAGTTAACATTGTAGAGAGGAATACTTTATTGTCCGAGGTATGCCTGTATCTGTATCTATATCCACTATCCTATCTATCTATCTATCTATCTATCTATCTATCTATCTATGTACTGTGTGTGTATAAACACACACACACACACACACACACACACACATGTATATGGCTTGAAATTCTCTATCTAGTAGTCATGTTGTTTATTTGACTTTATTTGCTGTCCTTCACACCCAGTCCAGAAACAAATCGTATAATGGTGTCTTATCATTCTTTCTCCTCAGCAACATTAGAGAACTTACCACTTTAGTGACCTTGCTAGTGATAGGTTTAACTTAGTTCCTATCCACCACATTGGGACCTTGTCTCTTTTTCTTCCAACTTGATAACGTCATAATTTCATGTATGCAGGTGTTGAGCAGATGGTTTCTTTTACAATTTTTATGGAAGAAAGTCTTAACCCCACCTCAGTTATTTGGTTTAAGAAATGAGCCATATGCTCTAAGTATCTCAGCGCTACTGCACAACTGTCAGAACATAGTAGTAGGGTTAAGTTCAATTTCAGTGGACGTTGAGATCTGTACCCAGTTGAGTAGTATCTGTGTCCCATAGATTTTGGTATGCTGTACCTTTGTTCTCATTAGTTTCAAATAACTTTTTTATCTCAGCCTTAATTTTATTATTTTCTCAAAAGTTATTCCAGAGCAGATTGTTTAATTTCCATGTAATTGTATGGCTTTGAGCAATTTTCTAGTCTTGAATTCTATTTGTATTGAGCTATGGTTCAAGAGAGTGGTTAGTATGATTTCAGTTCTTTTGCTTTTGCTGAGGATTGTTTTGTGTCTGATTTTGTGGTCTATTTTAGCGTATCTGCCATGTGGAGATGAGAAGAATATATATATTCTGTTGTTTTGAGGTGAAAAGTTCTGTAGCTGTCTATCAGGTCCATTTGGTCCAATGTTGACTTCAGGTCTTGAATGTTTTTGTTAATTTTCTGCCTCAAAGATCTGTCTAATACTGTCAATGGGAGTTGAAGTCTTCCACTATTATAGTGTGGGAGTTGAAGTCTTTTTGAGGGTCCCTAAAAACTTTCTTTATGAATATGGTGCTCCTGTGTTAGATGCATATATATTTATAATACTTAGATGTTTTGTTGAACTGAATCCTTTATGATTATGGAATGCCATTCTTTGTCTCTATGGCCTTTGTTGGTTTAAAGTCTGTTTTGCCAGAAACTAGGATGGCATCGCCTGCTCACTTCTGTTTTCCATTTGCTTGGTAGATGTGTCTCCATACCTTTATTTTGAGCCTATGGGTGTCCTTGCATGTGAGATGGGTCTTATGAAGAAAGCATACCATTGGGTCTTGCTTCTTTCTGCAGGTTGCCACTCTGTCCCTTTTAATTGGGACATTTAGTTTGATTACATTCAAAGTCAGGATTGCTATGTGTGGGTTTGATCCTATCACCATGATTTTAGTTGTTTATTATGCCAACTTGTTTGTGTGATTGCTTTATATATAGTGTTACTACCCTGTGTAAGGTGTGTTTTTGTAGTGGCTGTTTACTGTCTTTTCTTTCCATATTTAGTATTTCTCTGTTTTTCTTATTATACTTTATGTTCTGGGATACATGTGCAGAATGTGCAGGTTTGTAACATAGGTGTGCCATGGTGGTTTGCTGCACCCATCAACCCATCATCTACCTTAGGTATTTCTCCAAATGCTATCCCTTCCCTAGCCACCCACTCCCCGAAAGGCCCTGGTGTGTGATATTCCCCTCCGTGTGCCCATATGTCCTCATTGTTCAACTCCCACTTATGAGTGAGAACATGCAGTGTTTGTTTTTCTGTTCCTGTGTTAGTTTGCTGAGAATGATGGTTTCCAGCTTCATCGATGTCTCTGTGCAAAGGACATGAACTCATCCTTTTTTATGGCTGCATAGTATTCCATGGTATATATGTGCCACATTTTCTTTATCCAGTCTATCACTGATGACCATTTTGGTGGGTTCCAAGTCTTTGCTATTGTGAATAGTGCCACAATAAACATATATGTGCATATGTCTTTATAGTAAATGATTAATAATCCTTTGGGTTTACACCGAGGAATGGGATTGCTGGGTCAAATAGTTTCTTTTATAATGTCTGGCTCTAGGTGACTTGATCATGGTGGATAAGATTTTTGATGTGCTGCTGGATTCAGTTTGCCAGTATTATACTGAGGATTTTCACATCAATGTTCATCAGGGATATTGGCCTGAAATTTTCTTTTTCTATTGTGTCTCTGGCAAGTTTTGGTATTAGAATGATGCTGGCCTCATAAAATGAGTTAGGGAGGAGTCCCTCTTTTTCTATTGTTGGGAATAGTTTCAGAAGGAATGGTACAAGCCCCTCTTTGTAGCTCTGGTAGAATTTGGCTGTGAACCCATCTGGTCCTGGAATTTTTTTGGTGGTAGGCTATTCATTATTGCCTCAATTTCAGAACTTGTTATTGGTCTATTCAGGGATTTGGCTTCTTCCTGGTTTAGTCTTGGGAGGGTGTATGTGTCTAGGAATTTATCCATTTCTTCTCGATTTTCTAGTTTATTTGAGTAGAGGTGGGTCCCCTTATAATATTCTCTGATGGTAGTTTGTATTTCTGTGGGATCAGTGGTGCTATCCCCTTTATCATTTTTTATTGTGTCTATTTGATTCTTCTCTCTTTTCTTCTTTATTAGCCTGGCTAGCAGTCTATCTATTTTGTTAATCTTTTCAAAAAACCAGCTCCTGGATTTAATGATTTTTTGAAGGATTTTTTTGTGTCTCTATCTCCTTCAGTTCTGCTCTGATTTTAGTTATTTCTTGTCTTCTGCTAGCTTTTTAATTTGTTTGCTCTTGCTTCTCTAGTTCTTTTAATTGTGATGTTAGAGTGTCAACTTTAGATCTTTCCCACTTTCTCCTGTGGGCATTTAGTGCTATAAATTTTCCTCTAAACACAGCTTTAAATGTGTCCCAGAGATTCTGGTACATTGTGTCTTTGTTCTGATTTGTTTCAAAAAACTTAATTTTTTCTGCCTTAATTTCATTATTTACCCAGTGGTCATCAGGAGCACATTGTTCTGTTTCCTTGTAGTTGTGTGGTTTTGAGTGGGTTTCTTAACCCTGAGTTCTAATTTGATTGCACTGTGGTCTGAGAGACTGTTGGTTATGATTTCCATTCTTTTTCAGTTGCCAAGGTGTGTTTTACTTCCAATTATGTAGTCAATTTTAGAATAAGTGAGATGTGGTGATGTGAATAATGTATATTCTGTTCATTTGGGGTGGAGAGTCCTGTAGATGTCTATTAAGTCAGCTTGGTACAGAGCTGAGTTCAAGTCCTGAATATCCTTGTTAATTTTCTGTTTTGTTGATCTGTCTAATATTGACAGTGGGTTGTTAAAGTCTCCCACTAACATGGTGTGAGGGTCTAAGTCTCGTTGTAGGTCTCTAAAAACTTGCATAATGAATCTGGGTGCTCCTGTACCGGGTGCATATATTTTTAGGATAGTTAGCTCTTCTTGTTGAATTGATCCATTTACCATTATGTAATGGCCTTCTTTTTCTCTTTTGATCTTTGTTGGTTAAAAGTCTCTTTTATCAGAGACTAGGATTGCAACGCCTCCTTTTTTTTGCTTTCCATTTGCTTGGTAGATCTTCCTCCATCCCTTTATTTTGAGTCCATGTGTGTCTTTGCACATGAGATGGGTCTCCTGAATACAGCACACTGATGGATCTTGACCCTTTATCCAATTTGCCAGTCTGTATCTTTTAACTGAGGCATTTAGCACATATACATTGAAGGTTAATATTGTTACGTGTGAATTTGAACCTGTCATTATGACGCTAGCTGGTTTATTGCCCGTTAGTTGATGCAGTTTCTTCTTAGTGTTGATTGACTTTAGAATTTGGTATGTTTTTGCAGTGGCTGAAACTTGTTTTTCCTTTTCATATTTAGTGCTTCCTTCAGGAGCTCTTGTATGGCAGGCCTGGTGGCATTTGCTTATCTGTAAAGGAATTTATTTCCCCTTCGCTTATGAAGCTTAGTTTGGCTGGATATGACATTCTGGATTGAAAATTCTTTTCTTTAAGAATGTTGAATATCGGTCCTCACTCTCTTCTGGCTTGTAGGGCTTCTGCCAAGAGATTCACTGTTAGTCTGATGGGCTTCACTTTGTGGGTAACCCAACCTTTCTCTCTGGCCACCCTTAACATTTTTTCCTTCATTTCAATCTTGGTGAATCTGATGATTATGTGTCTCAGTGTTTCCCTTCTTGAGGAGTATCTTTGTGGTGTTCTCTGTATTTCCTGAATTTAAATGCTGGCCTGTCTTGCTAGGTTGGGGAAGTTCTCCTGGGTAATATCCTGAAGAGTGTTTTCCAGCTTGGTTCCATTCTCCCTGTCACTTTCAGGTACACCGATCAAATGTAGATTTGGTCTTTTCACATGGTCCCATATTTCTTGGAGGCTTTGTTTGTTCCTTTTCATTCTTTTTTCTCTAATCTTGTCTTCACGCTTTATTTCATTAAGTTGATCTTCAATTTCTGATATCCCTTCTTCGGCTTGATTGATTCTGCTATTGATAATTGTGTATGCTTCCCAAAGTTTTCATGCTATGTTTTTCAGCTCCATCAGGTCATTTATGTTCTTCTCTAAACTGGTTATTCTAGTTAGCAATTCCTCTAACCTTTTTTCAAGATTCTTATCTTCCTTGCATTGGGTTAGGACATGCTCCTTTAGCTCTGAGGAGTGTGTTATTACCCACCTTATGAAGCCTACTTCTGTCAATTCATCAAACTCATTCTCCATCCAGTTTTGTTCCTTTGTTGGTGAGGAGTTGTGATCCTTTGGAGGAGAAGAGATGTTCTGGTTTTGGAATTTTCATACTTTTTGGGCTGTTTTTTTCCCTCATCTTCATGGATTTATCTACTTTTGGTCTTTGATGTTGGTGACTTTCAGATGGGGTGTCTGGGCAGATGTCTTTTTTGATGTTGAACTTCCTGGCGCCTTTGTTTACACTGTGAGGGGAAAACCTCCTACTCAAGCCTCAGAAATGGCAGACACCTCTCCCCTCACCAAGCTCGAGCATCCTAGGTTTACATCAGACTGCTGTGCTGGCAGCAAGAATTTCAAGCCAGTGGATCTTAGCTTGCTGGGCTCCATGGGGGTAGGACCCACTGAGGTGGACGACTTGGCTCCCTGGCTTCCACCCCCTTTCCAGGGGAGTGAACAGTTCTGTCTCATTGGCATTCCAGGAGCCACTGGGTTATGAAAAAAAACTCCTGTGGCTAGCTCAGTGTCAGCCCAAATGGCTGCCAAATTTAGTGCTTGAAACCCAGGACCCTGGTGGTGTTGGAACCCGAGGCAATCTCCTGGTCTGTGGATTGTGAAGACCATGGGAAAAGCATAGTATCTGAGCCAGAATGCATCGTCCCTCATGGCACAGTCCCTCATGGCTTCTCTTGGCTAGGGGAGGGAGTTCCCTAACCTCTTTCACTTCCTGGGTGAGGTGAAGCCCCACCCTGCTTCAGCTCACTCTCCATGGGCTGCACCCACTGTCTAACCAGTCCCAATGAGATGAGCTGGGTACTTCTTTTGGAAATGCAGAAATCTCCCACCTTCTGTGTTGATCTCACTGGGAGATGCAGACTGGTGCTGTTCCTATTCAGCCATCTTGGCAGCCACCTACCCATATTTAGTACTTCTTTAAGAGTCTCTTGTAAAGCAGGTCTGGTGGTAATGAATTTCCTTAGCATTTGGTTCTCTGAAAAGGATTTTATTCTCCTTCACTTATGAGGCTTAGTTTAGTTAGATATAAAATTCTTGGATGAAATTTCTTTTCTTTAAGAATGTTGAATATAGTCCCTCAATCTCTTCTGGCTTACAGGGTTTCTGTAGAGATGTCTGCAGTTAGTCTGATGGGCTTCCCATTGTAGATGACTTGTCCTTTCTCTCTAGCTGCCTTTAATATTTTCTCTTTCATTTTGACCTTGGAGCTTCTGATAATTATGTGTCTTGGGTATGATCTTCTTGTGAAGTATTTTGCAGGGTTCTCTACACTTTCTGAATTTGAATGTTGGCCTTTCTAGCTAGGTTGAGGAAGTTCTCATGGATGATATCCTGAAATTTGTTTTCTGAGTCATTTCCATTCTTCTCATCTATTTCAGAGACCCAGTGAGTCATAGATTCAGTCCTTTTGCATAATCTCATATTTCTTGGAGGTTTTGTTTATTCTTTCCATTTCATTTTTTTTCTTTTTCTTTTCTTTTTTCTTTTTTTTTTCTTTTTTTTTTTTGAGAAAGAGTTTCTCGCTTTGTCACCCAGGCTAGAGGTGCAGTGGCATAATCTCGGCCCACTGCAACCTACACCTCTAGGGTTCAAGTGATTCTCCCACTTCAGCCTCCCAAATAGCTGGGAATACAGGTGTGCACCACTACACCTGGCTACTTTTTGCATTTTTAGTAGCGATGGGGTTTCACCATGTTGGCCAGGCTGGTCTTGAACTACTGACATCAAGTGATTCACCTGATTTGGCCTCCCAAAGTGTTGGGATCACAGACATGAGCCACTGCCCCCAGCCTCATTCTTTTTTTCTTTAATGTTGTCTCACTGCCTTATATCTTAAAGCCAGTCTTTAAGCTTGAGATTCTTTCCTCAGCTTGGTCTATTCTACTGTTAATACTTGTGATTTCATTATGAAATTCTTATAGAGTGTTTTTCAGCTCCATCAGGTTGGTTATGTACTTTTCTATACTGGCTATTTTGTCTGTCAGTTCCTGTATTATTTTATGGTTATTCTTACCTTTCTTAGACTGGGTTTCAATTCTCCTGAATCTCAATGATCTTTATGCCTAACCATATTCTGAATTCTATTTATGTCATTTCACCCATCTCAACCTGGTTAAGAACCCTTGCTGGAAAACTAGTTTGGTCGCCTGTCAGAGTGCTTGCATTGACTCTTTTTCGTCTTTCTGGGCTGATGTCCCTTCAATCTTTGAAGTTGTTCCCCTTTGGATGGGCTTTTTAAATTTTGCCTTATCCTATTTGATGACCTTGGGGATTTGATTGTGGTATAAGGTGGGTTCAGTCGACTGGCTTTGTTACTGAAAGATTTTAGCGGGCCAAGGCTTGGTTCAGGACTTCAGAACTGCATGCTCTAATTCTGGGGGACTTTTATTGGCTTGGCTTTTTCTCTTGAGCCTCAAGGTTAGGACCTTGCTGCACTGGAGGAGCCAAAGTATTCCAAGACTGCTGGTCACAACACTCAAAAAGATATTGCCAGCCAAAGCACTTCATAGGGTAGTGACAACATGATCTGTCCTCAATCACATATGCCGTCATTAGTTACAGTGAGAGCGCAGTGGGGAACACACTTATTAGCTGTGGCAGGGCGCTAGCAGACTCTATGCAAGCATTCACAGCAGCAGTGGTGGCAGTATGGCTGGGGGGTGCCCCTTCACCACATTGGGACTACTCCTGTTCCCACCAGTGGTGGTGTTAGCATGTGGCAGGATCTGGTATGTGCAGGACTCTCTGCACCCTCTGTGCACATTCACACTGGCAGCAGTGGCTGCTCAGGGATGGGGCAGATAAGTTGTTTTCCATGCCTAGTTTCACTCTGGCAGCAGTGTTGGTGCAGGGGTAGGGTCTTGGTTGGGGTGAGGCCTTCAGGCTTCTTATTGCCAACACTCTGAAGACCATGGCAGTGTCATGGGGGAAGGGGGTGTGCTGTGGGCAATCTTTTTAAAATTTGGGTCAAACATGGCATCTCTTTCAAAAAGACAAGTTATTAAAAATGTGAAATCTAATATACCACCTTAATCTGATATCCTTTGTATTTTATTTAGATTAAAACTTCTGCATAGGTCGCTTCCAAGATGGACGAATAGGAACAACTCCAACCTACAGCTCCCAGCGAGATTGATGCAGAAGATGGGCGATTTCTGCATTTCCAACTGAGGTAACTGGTTCATCTCACTGGGACTGGTTGGACAGTTGGTGCAGCCCAGGGAGGGTGAGCTGAAGCAGGGCGGGGTGCTGCCTCACCCAGGAAGCACAAGGGGTTGGGGGATTTCCCTTTCCTAGTCAAGGGAAGTCATGAGAGATTGTACCTGGAGGAACAGTACACTCCTGCCCAAATAGTGTGCTTTTCCCATGGTCTTTGCAAATGGCAGACCAGGAGATTCCCTCCCATGCCTTGCTCAGTGGGTCCCATGCCCATAGAGCCTTGCTCACTGCTAGTGCAGCAGTTTGAGATTCACCTGGGATGCTGGAGCTTGGTCGGGGGAGTGGCATCTGCCATTGCTGAGGCTTAAGTAGGTGGTTCTATGCTCACAGTGCAAACAAAGCAGCAGGGAACCTCAAACTGGGCGAAGCCCACCACAGCTCAGCAAGGCCTACTGCCTCTCTAAATTCCACCACTGGGGGCAGGGCATATCTGAACAAAAGGCAGCAGACATCTTCTGCAGACTTAAACGTCCCTGCCTGAAAGCTCTGAAGAGAGCAATGGTTCTGCCCAGCATGGTGTTCGAGCTCTAATAATGGACAGACTGCCTCTTCAAGTAGGTCCCTGACCCTCTTGTAGCCTGACTGGGAGACACCTCCTAGTAGGGGGCCAAAAGAAACCTCATACAGGCGGGTACCCCTTTGGGAAGAAGCTTCCAGAGGAAGGATCAGGCAGCAATATTTGCTGTTCTGCAGCCTCCACTGGTGATACTCCAAACAGGGTCTAGAGTGGACCTCCAGCAAACGCCAACAGACCTGCAGCTGAATGGCCTATCTGGTAGAAGGAAAATTAACAAACAGAAAGGAATAGCATCAACATCAATGGAAAGGACATCCACACCAAAACCCCATCCAAAGGTCACCAACATCAAAGACAAAAGGTAGATAAAAACGCAAAGATGGGGAGAAACCAGAGCAGAAAGGCTGAAAATTCCAAAAACTAGAACGCTTCTTCTCCCCCAAGCAACACAACTCCTCGACAGCAAGGGAACAAAACTGGACGAAGACTGAGTTTGGCAAGTTGAAAGAAGTAGGCTTCAGAAGGTCAGTAATAACAAACTTCTCTGAGCTAAATGAACATGTTCTAACCCATCACGAGGAAGCTAAAAGCCTTGAAAAAGGATTAGACGAATGGCTAACTAGAATAACCAGAGTAGAGAAGAGCTTAAATGATCTGATGGAGCTGAAAACCACAGTATGAGCACTTGGGGAAGCACAAAAAAGCTTCAATAGCCAACTCAATCAAGCAGAAGAAAGAGATCAATGACTGAAGATCAAATTAATGAAATAAAGAGAGAAGAGAAGATTAGAGAAAAAAGAGTCAAAAGAAATGAATGAAGCCTCCAAGAAAAGTGGGACTATGTGAAAAGACCAAATATATGTTTTATTGATGAGCCAGAAAGTGATGGGGAGAATGGAACCAAGTTGGAAAACACTCTTCAGGATATCATCCAGGAGAACTTCCCCAACCTAGCAAGACAGGCTAAGATTAAAATTCAGGAAATACAGAGAATACCACAAAGATACTCCTTGAGAGGGGAAAACCCAAGACACGTAATCATCAGACTTACCAAGATTGAAATGAAGGAAAAAATGTTAAGGGCAGCCAGAGAGAAAGGTTGGGTTACCCATAAAGTGAAGCCTATCAGACTAACAGCAGATCTCTCTGCAGAAACCCTATAAGCCAGAAGAGAGTGGGGGCCAATATTCAACTTTCTTAAACAAAAGAATTTTCAACCCAGAATTTCATATCCTGCCAAACTAAGCTTCATAAGTGAAGGAGAAATAAAATCCTTTACAGACAAGCAAATGCTGAGGGATTTTGTCACCACCAGGTCTGCCTTACAAGAACTCCTGAAGGAAGCACTAAACATGGAAAGAAACAACCAGTACCAGCCACTGCACAAACATGCCGAAGTATAAAAACCATTGGCGCTATGAAGAAACTGCATCAATTAATGGGCGGAATAACCAGCTAGCATCATTATGACAGGATCAAATTCAAACATAACAATATTAACCTTAAATGTAAATGGGCTAAATGCCCCCAGTTAAAAGACACAGACTGGCAAATTGGATAAAGAGTCAAGACACATCAGTGTGCTGTATTCAGGAGACCCATCTCATGTGCAAAGACACACGTAGGCCCAAAAGAAAGGGATAGAGGAAGATCTACCCAGTGAATGGAAACAACAACAACAAAAAAAGCAGTCATTGTAATCCTGGTCTCTGATAAAACAAACTTTAAACCAACAAAGATCAAAAGAGAAAAAGAAGGCCATTACATAATGGCAAAGGGATCAATTCAACAAGAAGAGCTAACTATCCTAAATATATATGCACCTAATACAAGAGCAACCAGATTCATAAAGCAAGTTCTTAGATACCTACAAAGAGACTTAGACTCCCACGCAATAATGATGGGAGACTTTAACACCTGACTGTCAATATTAGACGGATCAAGGAGACATAAAATTAACAAGGATATCCAGGACTTGAACTCAGTTCTGGACCAAGTGGACCTAATAGACATCTACAGAGATCTCCACCCCAAATCAATGGAATATACATTATTCACATCACCGCATCTCACTTATTCTAAAATTGACCACATAATTGGAAGTAAAACACTCCTCAGCAAATGTAAAAGAAAAGAAATCACAACAAACAGTTTCTCAGACCACAGTGCAATCAAATTAGAACTCACAGTTAAGAAACTCTCTCAAAACTGCACAACTGGCCGGGTGCGGTGGCTCACGCCTGTAATCCCAGCACTTTGGGAGGCCGAGGTGGACAGATCACCTGAGGTCAGAAGTTCAAGACCAGCCTGACTAACATGGAGAAACCCCATCTCTATTAAAAATACAAAAATTACCTTGGCATGGTGGCATGTGCCTGTAATCCCAGCTACTTGGGAGGCTGAGGCAGGAGAACCACTTGTACCCAAGAGGCAGAGGTTGCAGTGAGCTGAGATCGTGCTATTGTACTCCAGTCTGGACAACAAGAGCGAAACTCTGTATCGAAAAAAAGAAGAAAAAAAAGCTGCCCAACTACATGGAAACTGAACAACCTTCTTCTGAATGACTACTGGGTAAATAACAAAAATATGGCAGAAATAAAGATGCTCTTTGAAAACAATGAGAACAAAGACACAATGTACCAGAATCGCTGGGACACATTTAAAGCAGTGTGTACAGGGAAATTTATAGCACTAAATGCCCACAAGAGAAAGCAGGAAAGATTTAAAATCGACACCTTAACATCACAATTAAAATAACTAGAGAAGCAAGAGCAAACAAATTCAAAAGCTAGCTGAAGACAAGAAACAACTAAGATCAGAGCAGAACTGAAGGAGATAAAAACAAAACAAAAAAAACCTTTCAAAACATCAATGAATCCAAGAGCTGGTTTTTTGAAAAGACCAACAAAATAAATAGACTGTTAGCAAGATTAATAAAGAATAAAAGAAAGAAGAATCAAATAGACACAATAAAAATTGATAAACGGGATAGCACCACTGATCCCACAGAAATGCAAACTACCACCAGAGAATACTATAAATACCTCTATGCAAATAAACTAGAAAATCTAGAAGAAATGGATAAATTCCTGTACACATACACTCTCCCAAGACTAAACAAGGAGAAGTTGAATCTCCGAATAGACCATTAACAGGTTCTGAAATTGAGGCTGTAATTAATAGCCTACCAAGTAAAAAAAAGTCTAGGACCAGATGGATTCACAGCCGAATTCTACCGGAGGTACAAAGAGGAGCTGGTACCATTCCTTCTGAAACTATTCCACTCAATAGAAAATGAGGGACTCCTCCCTAACTCATTTTATGAGGCCAATATTATCCTGATACCAAAGCCTGGCAGAGACACAAGAAAAAAGAGAATTTTTGTTCAATATCCTTGATGAACATCTATGTGAAAAATCCTCAGTAAAATACTGGCAAATCAAATCCAGCAGCACATCAAAAAGCTTATCCACCATGATCAAATCGGCTTCATCTCTGGGATGTAAGGCTCATTCAATATATGCAAATCAATAAACGTAATCCATCACATAAACAGCACCAACGACAAAAACCACATGATTATCTCAATAGATGCAGAAAAGGCCTTGGACAAAATTCAACAGCCTTTTATGCAAAAACTCTCAATAAACTAGGTATTGATGGAACATATCTCAAAATAATAAGAGCTATTTATGACAAACCCACAGCCAATATCATACTGAATGGGAAAAAATGGGAAGCATTCCCTCTGAAAACTGGCACAAGACAAGGATGCCCTCTCTCACCACTCCTATTCCACATAGTATTGGAAGTTCTGGCCAGGGTATTCAGAAATGAGAAATAAATAAATATATTCATTTAGGAAAAGAGGAAGTCAAATTGTCTCTGTTTGCAGATGACATGATTATAAATTTAGAAAACCCCAACCTTTCAGCCCAAAATCTCTTTAAGCTGATAAGCCACTTCAGCAAATTCTAAGGATACAAATCAATGCGCAAAAAGCACAGGCATTCCTATACACCAAGAATAGACAGACAGAGAGTCAAATCATGAGTGAACTCCCATTCACACTTGCTTCGAAGAGAATAAAATACCTAGGAATCCAACTTATAAGGGATGTGAAGGACCTCTTCAAGAAGAACTACAAACCACTGCTCAATGAAATAAAAGAGGATACAAATGGAAGAACATTCCATGCTCATGGGTAGGAAGAATCAATATCGTGAAAATGGCCATACTGCCCAAGGTAATTTATAGATTCAATGCTATCCCCATCAAGCTACCACTGACTTTCTTCACAGAATTGGAAAAAGCTACTTTAAATTTCATATGGAACCAAAAAAGAATCCACATAACCAAGACAATCCTAAGCAAAAAGAGCAAAGCTGGAAGCATCATGCTACCTGACTTCAAAGTATACTACAAGGCTACAGTAACCAAAACAGCATGGTACTGATACCAAAACAGATATGCACCAATGGAATAGAACAGAGGCCTCAGAAATAACACCACACATCTACAACCACCTGATCTCTGACAAACCTGACAAAAACAATCAGTGGGGAATGGATTCCATATTTAATAAGTGGTACTGCAAAAACTCGCTAGCCATATGTAAAAAGCTGAAACTGGATCCCTTCCTTACACCTTATACAAAAATTAACTCAAGATGGTTTAAAGACCTAAATGTAAGACCTAAAACCATAAAAACCCTAGAAGAAAACCTAGGCAATACCATTAACGACATAGGCATGGGCAAAGACTTCATGTCTAAAACACCAAAAGCAATGGCAACAAAAGCCAAAATAGACAAATGGGATGCAATTAAACTAAAGAGCTTCTGCCCAGCAAAAGAACCTATCATCAGAGTGAACAGGCAACCTACAGAATGGGAGAACATTTTTGCAATCTATCCATCTGACAAAGGTATAATATCCAGAATCTACAAAGAACTTAAACCAATTTACAAGAAAAAACAGACAACCCCATCAAAAAGTAAGCAAAGGATATGAACAGACACTTCTCAAAAGAAGACATTTATGAAGCCAACAAATATATGAAAAAATGCTCATCATCACTGGTCATCAGAGAAATGCAAATGAAAACCACAATGAGATACAATCTCATGCCAGTTAGAATGGCAATCATTAAAAAGTCAGAAAATAACACACGCTGGAGAGGATGTGGAGAAATAAGAACGCTTTTACACTGTTGGTGGGAGTGTAAATTAGTTCAACCATTGTGGAAGACAGTGTGGCAATTCCTCAAGGATCTAGAACCAGAAATACCATTTGACCCAGCAATCCCATTACGGGGTATATACCCAAAGGATTATAAATCATTCTACTATAAAGACACATGCACATGTATGTTTACTGCAGCACTATTCACAATAGCAAAGACTTGGAATCAACACAAATATCCATCAATAATAGAGTGGATAAAGAAAATGTGGCACATATACACCATGGAATACTATGCAGCCATAAAAAAAGATGAGTTCATGTCCTTTGTAGAGACATGGATGAAGCTGGAAACCATTATTCTCAGCAAAATATCGCAGGGACAGAAAACCAAACACCGCATGTTCTCACTCATAAGTGGGAGTTGAACAATGAGAACACATGGACACAGGGAGGGGAACATCACACAAAATGCTGGGATTACAGGCATAAGCCACCGTGCCCAGCTGAAATTATATATTTATATATGCGTGTATTTGAAACTTTTTATTCTTTCAATCAGTATTTGCTAGAAACTCATTATTTGAGGTCACAGTACTGCGAGAATGATATAAAGATTACACTATAAAGATATATTAAGATGATTATTGGCTAGGCACGGTCGCTCATGCCTTTAATCCCCGCACTTTGGGAGGACAAGGTAGGCAAATCACTTGAGGTCAGTAGTTCAAGATCAACCTGGCTAACATGGTGAAACCCTTCTCTACCAAAAAATATGAAAATTAGCTGGGTTTGGTGGTGCGCCCCTCTAGTCCCAGCTACTTGGGAGGCTGAGGCAGGAGAGTCACTTGAACCCAGGAGGCAGAGGTTTCAGTGAACCAAGATCGTAGCACTGCGCTCCAGCCAAGGCGACATAGCAGGACCATGTCAGAAAACAAACAAAAAAAAAAGACGGTTATCATATAATGGATACAGCCTTGACACATCACAAGCTAAAGGACTAAAAAATTAAGAAATAATTAAAATTCCTACTGGCAGTAATGGCATTTTAGGAAATTTATACTCATCTTCTCATCAAAGGCAGCCGTAAAAAGTAAACAAAATCTTTTAAAACATGAATCTACATAAACAAATTCAAGAGATAAAAAAAAATCCCGGAAGAATTCTAAAGCATTTAAGAACATTTTCTTCTTGGAGTTTCACATGATTTTTCACAAAGTTTCTGAGAGGCTGACAAACTAAGGAGAAAAATTGACAACTAAATCGAAATTAGAGTTTATATTTGGGCATGAGCAGATGACTCTTTTGAAATAAGGGTAAAGCAAGGGTAGCCTAATTTTAATAGAAACTGAAGCACATCTTAAAATTATCATCATTATCAAAACCGATATGAGATGTTCCTAGATTGCTACCACCTCTAATAAGCTGTGAGAGAAAATTGAACTATCTGTAAAAAGTTACTATTATTCTTTGCCTCAAAATTTCAAATTCTTAAGACACAAATGTACAACTCTAAAAAATAATCAAGGATGAGAGAAATCAAGATCATTTGACTAAAAAACCTCAGGACTCAATATGTTATAAAAACAGGCAACTAACAGAATGGGAGAAAATTTTTGCAATCTACTCATCTGACAAAGGGCTAATATCCAGGATCTACAATGGACTCAAACAAATTTACAACAAAAAAAACAAACAGCCCCATCAACAAGTGGGCGAAGGATATGAACAGACACTTCTCAAAAGAAGATATTTATGCAGCCAAAAGACACATGAAAAAATGCTCATCATCACTGGCCATCAGATAAATGCAAATCAAAACCACAATGAGATACCATCTCACACCAGTTAGAATGGTGATCTTTAAAAAGTTGGGAAACAACAGGTGCTGGAGAGGATGTGGAGAAATAGGAACACTTTTACACTGCTGGTGGGACTGTAAACTGGTTCAACCATTGTGGAAGTCATGTGGCGATTCCTCAGGGATCTAGAACTAGAAATACCATTTGACCCAGCCATCCCATTACTGGGTATATACCCAAAGGATTATAAATCATGCTGCTATAAAGACACATGCACTTGTATGTTTATTGCAGCACTATTCACAATAGCAAAGACTTGGAACCAACCCAAATGTCCAACAATGATAGACTGGATTAAGAATATGTGGCACATATACACCATGGAATACTATGCACATAAAAAATGATGAGTTCGTGTCCTTTGTAGGGACATGGATGAAGCTGGAAACCATCATTCTCAGCAAACTATCACAAGGACAAAAAACCAAACACCGTATGTTCTCACTCACAGGTGGGAATTGAACAATGAGAACACATGGACACAGGAAGGGAAACATCACACACCAGGGCCTGTTGTGGGGTTGGGGGAGTGGGGAGGGATAGCATTAGGAGATATACCTAATGTTAAATATTGAGTTAATGGTTGCAGCACACCAACATGGCACATGTATACATATGCAACAAACCTGCACGTTGTGCACATGTACCCTAAAACTTAAAGTATAATAATAATAAAAAAACAATTGAAAGAGCTTTAGATAAAGAAGTTTTCAGATACCTTTAAAATTCTTATGCCACTGTTAACTATAAAACAAAGAAGTCATATGGAAATTCTAAAAATAAGAAATGCAGAATTCCACACCCCAGAAATAAAATACTTAGGTATAATCATAACAAAAATACTTATAAGATTTATATAGGGAAAACTATAAAACTAATGAAAGAAATTTAAAAATAAGTTCTAGTTGCCTGGGACTAATTTCATGTCAATAGATAAGAAGACTCAATTTTGTCAAAATGTCACTTCTTCCCAATTTGATCTGTAGATTTAATGCAATTTCAATCAAAATATCAAAAAATATTTTGTAGAAATTCATAAAATGATATTAAAGTGTACATGGAGAGGTAAAGGGTACAGCATAATCAATACAATATTGAGGAAAAACAAAGTCAGAGTACCAACACTACCCCATGTCAAGATTTAACAATAAAGTGATAGTAATCAAGACAGTGTTGTATTGGTGAAAGAACAGACAAATAGGCCAGTGAAACAGAGTAGAGAGCCCAGAAATAGACCCACACAAGTACATGCAACTGATCTTTGACATAAGAGAAAGGGCAATAACACAGAAAAAGTCTTCAACACATGGTGCTAAAACAACTTGACATCCACTTGTAAAAGAAAATGTAGGGAGAAATCTTACACTGCTCCCCAAAACTTACTCAGAATAGATCACAACCTAAATGTAAGGTGCCAAACTATAAAACTCCTAGAAGTCAACATAGGAGAAAACCCATACAACCTTGGATTTGGCAATGGCATTTTAGAGACAACACTAATGACCCAATTTATGAAAGAAATTATTGATAAGCTGGATTTCATTAAAATTAAACTCTTCTGACCTAGGAAACACTGTCGAGAGAATTAGAAGACAAACCACAGACTTGGAGAAAATATTTGTGGGATACATATGTGATAAAGGACTATTATTCAAAATACACAAGGAACTCTTAAAACTCAATCATAAGAAAATGAACAGCACAATTATAAATGGGCAAAAGGTCTGAATAGACACCTCACCAAAAAGATACAGATGGCAAATAAGCATATGAAAATATACTCATCATACGTCATTAGGGAATTGCAAATTTAAACAGTGAGTCAACACTATCCCACTACTAGAATGGCTAAAATCAAAAACACTGAAACACTAAAAGCTGAAAAGGAAAGGAAATATCACTCATTGCTGGTGAGAATGCAAAATAGTGTAGTCACTTTAGAAGGTAAGATGGCAGTTTCTTACAAAACTAAATATACCCTTACAATACAATCTAGCAATTGTATTCCTTGGTATTTTCTCAAATGAGTTGAAAACTTATGTTTAGACAAAAATTTGAACATAAAGGTTTATAGCAGGTTCACTTATAATTATCAAAACCTGAAGTAACCAAAATATCCTTCCGTATGCAAATAGATAAATAAACTGTGGCACATCCCAACAATGGAATATTCTACAGAGCTCAAAAAAAGAGCAGTCAAGCCCTATTCTGCTGCCAAACACTAGATTTTATTCATTCTATCTTACTGACAAATATTGCATGTTATCCCTAATATGTTGGAGATAAAAAATGTATTTAACTCATGCAGATAGAGAATGAATGATGTTTACTAGAGGCTAGGAAGTATAGTGGAGATAGGGGGAAAAAAAGAAGATAGTTAGTGGGTCCAAATATTGATAAGTTTCCAAGAGCAGCATAACTAACAGCTTGCAACTCATCTACAAAAGAATATTACAACCTTCCAAGTTCTAACACATACAAAATATAAATAACACTTTCTCTTGCAGTTTTCTACATATTTCTGTGTGACTGACTGGTTTTTGAGGCAGACCTGCTGGATAAAGAGAGGCTATGGCCTGAGTCTTATCAAAAGCATCTGGCTTCATTAAGTAGAAAGGATAATTCATTATAGAAAGGTAGAACACGCCTGGCACGATGGCTCACACGTGTAATTCCAGCACTTTGGGAGGCCAAGGTGGGTGGATTGTTTGAGCTTAGGAGTTTGAGACCAGCATGGGCAACATGGTGAAACTTCATCTCTACAAAAAAATAGCCAGATGTGGTGCTGTGTACCTGTAGTCCTAGCTAGTCAGGAGGCTGAAGCAGGAGGATCACTTGAGCTTAGGAGGTGGAGGCTGCAGTGAGTTGTGTTCCCGCTACTGTACTCAAGACTGGGCGACAAAGCGAGATCCTATTTCAACAACAACAACAAAAAAAAAAAAAAAAAAAAAAAAGAGAGAGAGAGAAAAAAAATGGAAAAATTTGAGTAAAGGTGGAAAGATAGTTTCTTTGTTGTTATGTCGTTCTTGATGATGACATTGCTGTTTTCAATTTGTTGACAATGACTTGGATAAAAATGAAAGTTCCTTTGGATATTATAGGCAGGTGCTAAGTTTTTGTGATGACAATTCCAAGGAAATTGAGAGAATTACTATAGGCCTAATAATGAAAAGCATTCAATAGCAGAATAAGGCTAGACTTCATTTTATAATCACAGAGGAAGAAGTGAATTTTTTTTCAGCCATGACATTACATGAAAAAAAATTATGACTTTGAAAAAAATTAGGAGCAAACACCCTCAGAGTTTCTATTTTTTATGTTCCACAGTGAGGAGTGACAAATATCTGCTTCATTGGAATTAAATGTTAATTTTAATATTCAATGCCTATTGATTTACAGAAGAAAAATATAACAACAAATCCAATAATTTGAATCTGGACAATAAGAAATAATCATGATGCCATAAGCAGATAAACGGAAATAACTGAGAATAGAGGAAAGTAAATAGGAAGAATGGGAATAGAGATGATAAAACAAGTAATTTCTAAAGATGTGGATGTGAGAGTTACCCTTATAAAGTGATAAACTATAAAAAGAATGGGATTTTAGAAGAGACTACAGAGTTAAAAGGAAAAGAGAAAGAATGAAAGGAAAACATGAGGGGAGAGAGAGAGAGAGACAAATGAAAACAGGTAATGATTGAGGGTTACCTAGAATGTCTATTTTTTATGGATGTCAACATTGAAATAAATTAGAGATGTAATTTTTTTTCAATTTTAAACACAATGCAAAAATAAAAGAAAATGATTAATGTATAAAATGCATGTCATACAAAAGTACAGTTGTATTAATATAGTGGGTTCGAAAGCAAACGGCAAATAATTTTGGTATGATTAAAATGGATGTGAGAAAATGGGTAAAAATAATGTGGGTGACCATCTTTAAAGAATTTTGTCAATGAGAGAAAACAATACATTTGAATAAAAATATAACTTGAGGTGCATATGGACAAAAAATAGTGTCAAGAATGAAAACAAAATATTTTAGGGTAAAAGTAAAGTTGGTAGAAAATTAGACACTACAGATATAAAGTAAGGAATGAGAGGTGATGCGTGGTAGGCAGGATGACTGATTAAATGATTTATTTGAAGGAGGCAGAAAGGAATAAAAGGCGAACAGATACTGAAGAAGCATAAAAGGTGTTTCTAGGCTCAGAGTGGAATATAAAGAAGAATCACACATTGTGTTTGCCCTGAGAGGTTCTTACAAGATCAGACAAGGATAAGAGATGTTTCTCAGGATATAACACGGTGTTAAAACATAATATTTTGTTACAGAATTACTAAAGGAAAGTATCGTTGGCTTTTCTGTACCAAGTCTACAAGGAACTTTTTTTAAAAATTCATTTTTCTGTCTGGTAGAACATACCAACATGTTATTCATTATGTAAAAGGGTGAGAAAACGCAAGAAGATTTTAAAAGAATTCTCAACATTGACCCTAGTTTCCACAATTTTAATGTTTTAATAAAAGAAATTCAACAGTTAGATTATTAACTACCTCCATACAAAAATATATTTACGTGTCAAGTAGACTCTGTTAAAGAGGAGACCAAGTCCCTGTATATATATATATATATAATATATATATAATATATATATAATATATATATATAATATATATAATATATATATAATATATATAATATATATAATATATATATAATATATATATGTATATGTATACATACATACACACACATACACACACACACACACACACACACACATAGTGTTCATTTGCAAATATTCCCAGGAGAAAATCAGAACGCTTCTAAATAAAGTATCTAAATTCCTTATTCACTGTCCAGTATCATTGCTAATTCACCCAGACAGCTCAACCATAATCCAATTAAATCTATCTAAACTCTTCCTTCTTTTTTTTTTTTTTTTTTTAAATCTTAAACCATTTTGGGAAAAAAAGGCATCAAATCATGTTTTAAAAGAAATAATATTTCTTATGCTGCAAGTAATACTCAGTTATTATATTATATCATTTATTGGTAGGTACTATAAAAATCCTAATTTTTTTTAACAAGATGATCAGAGTATCCTTTTTGCACCAATCAATTACAGACTGGGTATATCCTTGAGAGTTATTTCATTGTATTTATAGAGAGGGTGATGCACACTTAATAATGTGAATCCTATAAATGTTTACATGAGTTTAAATTAGTCACTGAATAGTTTTGTATCCAAGTTTGGATTAGATATTAAACAAGGAGGAAATAAACAACAATGCAACTCTGCCCAGTACGTTCAAATATCAATTGCTATCCCTTCACAAATTTAAATTATTTGTCTAAATACTTGAAATTAGAATGTTTTAGAATAATTTTTTCCAACGTCAAGCAGGTAAATAACAAAACAAACTCAGTTGCCATGAGGACATACAAATTTACAAGTATAACATTAATAATTTCGTGACTAAAATTGAATATAATTTCATATGGCAAAATGAGTAATTTTGCTATGTTTTGAAAAAAAGTATAGTATTTCATTAACCTATTTAATTATCTAGAATTGGGATACTATATTTCAATAAGTGTATTTTACTTGGCCATTCAATAAATTCCATACACAAGAAAGAATGATTACACACATGTTGCTAAATTATTTTGCTTTAAACTTTACGCAAACTCTAGTTCTACTGACCATTGCCACATGGTTTTAAGGTTTTTTTTTTTTTTTTTGCCTGGTGTAGATAACTGTGTACCACTTCGTTCTGCTGTGTCCTATGCATGTATGGCTTCCTTAATGCAAGCAGAAAGACCTGGGCTTGACTTACATATAGCTGTGAGATAAGATGAGATTACATACAAAGAATCCTAACAGAGCCAAACAAAGAGGAGAAGTGGGAAAAAATCCCAACCCAGTGACTATGTTCCTTCCAGTGATGACCAATAATAAATAAGATTTCCTAAACACATTCATATTATCCTACCTGTTTCTTTTAGGTGGGATAAAGGTGTTAGGGGTGTAGCAACAACAATAACAAAAAACTGAAGAGCTTGACATATCCTAAAAGCATGGAAGGATCTAGGTTTTTCAGGGCCTAAAATTGATACGTAATGATGGCAGGGTGATCTTTAAGTAATACAGAATTGGACGTACAAATTCTAAACATGTTACAAAAAACCATAAATCACAAACTCCAGTAAGTTAGCGCAATAGGTTTTCAAATTATCTTACTGTGGTAAATTACTTTAGTGAGGCTAAAATAAAAAGTCTTAGCAATGCTATAACTATTATTCCAATATCAATTGAATTCACTTAAATAGAATGATTTCCAATGAAATTATTAAAAGCAATGTGATACATTTATTAGTGGGTGAAAGTTTTCTTTATTTTCTTGTTTGTGATACCAGTGTTTACCAGAATCACTGGTTATCTGCTTACTTTCATAATTGAAGTTATAATTTTGTATCATGTAATTCTAATTCCTTATTTAAACTAGAATTTGAGTAGTCTCCACTCTATCTTTTTTTCTGCTTATCAAATACAGGTTGCTACTAATGAAGAAAAAGAGTAAATATGTCAGTAACATAAAATATGTCAAAAACTTCTTATCACACAAAAATCTATTGAAATATCAATTAAACTGAATTTGTAAAAAGCACTCTCCTTTCATCCCTATCAGTGGATTATTATTAAATTAAAAATATTTAAATGAATTTTAACACTTAAAAAATTGACAGGAATTACAAATGTCACTATTCAGAACTAAACACCAACAGTCAAGGTGAATCTGGGGACATGAGTTTTTAACTAGAAGCTGAGCAAGAAGTATCATAAGGCATTTTATCTTTATCCAGTTAATGCCTGGGTATCTTACATTTTGTAACTTTATATTCACGGACATCTTCTTTAAACTTTGTTCATATTAGCTTGCCCACTTGATTTCAGTTTTCTACTCTGCAATAGTTATTTACCCAATTAATTTGAAAATCATAATTTAACTGGTTTAGTGAAGATTTTCTGACACACTATTAATATTTAAAACCTGTTTTACCCTTCTGACTTGTGGCCCCTTGATCTATGAGAATTGGTAAATCCTAATTAACTCAGTGAGTGGGATCCCTTGTAGATTAACTTGAAATATAATTTTATTCAAGCTCAGAATGGGGCATAAAGCCATCAATTTGTGTGACATGTAAGCTAAACATTTTGCTATTGTCCACCTTACTATATTTCAAATTAACATTTCTCAGAGTAATATTTTATACTGAAAAAGAAAAAAAAAAGCAGACTTTAGTCACAACTTTTTTCACTATTGCTGACTTCTTATTCCTAATATTATATTATTTTAAAAATCTCTAAAGATATCTAAATATTATAGATTTCAGTATTTAATGATTCCCAGGTGGTCTTTGTTTATTTTTAGAACTGGCCTTGAACTATTAAACTATGTGACTAAGTCCACTGACAGGCAAGATGGTGGGGTAACCAAAAAGTGACTGGCACTTGGTATTTGCTCAACAATTATTTTGGAATGAAAAACTTACAAATAGCTCATATAAAGAAACAAGACCTAACTTTACAGAGCAAGTCATTGAGTGAGATTTCTTACAGGATAGGCTGGAGATGTAACTGAAGGTAGACTGAAGACAAGTAGTAAAGTCTCTAATTGCCCTTCAATTACTAAACTAGAGGTTCGTATAGGATAGAAAATCTAGAAAACGTTGAAATATTTTATGTAAACTATTGGATTTTTAAGCCTATATTTTCTGTTAGTAGAACCAGGAAAAAACAGTAGGATATTGCTGAATAATAATAAAATAGTACCTCACTTAGAACTATTTAACTCATAATAATCTGTGGGACATAAACATTGATCTTTCCAGTACTCAGTTAAACACATGTTTATGTAGAGTATAAAGAACTAATCATAGTTGAAGAAACAGATGTGTGAGCTTTTTGGCATGGTTATACTTGACACATGTGAATAGAAGAGATTTCTAGAGATAATAATTGCAATTAAAAGCAGAAGAAATACCATCAAATGTGTGTTAAAGTGAAAAACTTAGGAAACAGAACCAACGAAAAGAGAGCTTTATAGAGAGCTATAGAGGTAGAAGAGAAGATCTATTATTGGCTGTAATGGTTAACTTTATGTGTTAACTTGGCTAGGCTATGATACCCAGTTGTTTGGTGAAGCACCTGTTTAGATAATACTTTAAAGGTATTTTTTTTACATATGACTAACATTTACAATCGGTAGACTTTAGGCATAGCAGATTACTCTTAACAATGTGTGCAGACCTCATCCAATCAGTTAAAAGCCTCAAGAGCAAAGACTGAGGTTTTCTGAAGAAATTCTGTCACAACACTGCAAACGTCCAACTGTGCCTATGTTTCTATCCTGCCTGACTTGTCTGTGAATTTCAGTCTCAAAACTTCAACATCAATTGTCACTTGAATTTTCAGCCAGTGGGTTGGCCCTACAAAGTAAACCTCCAAAATCACTTGAGCCAATTTCTTAAAATAAACCTCTCTATGTGTGTGTGCATACACCCACAGAAAAATTTTATGGCGGGGAGGGAAGGTTTAGAGATATATATATACAGAGAGAGAGATCTCCATTATGTATCTATCTTAACCCCTCTCTCTCACTCAGCAAAGTTTGGCTTGTAGGTCTGGCAGGGGCTTAGAGTAAACCTAGCTGCTGCAACAGTCCCAACACTATAAGGAGAGCTGTGAGGGGGCAAAAAGAGCCCCAGTACCTCTATCATTTGTATGAGTTTGGTGAGAGAGAACATTTGTAAAAGTCAGGCAAAGCAGATTTATTACTCACAGATAGGCAGCAAGAATAAACAGAAGACTTGGGTTCATGGTGAGCCAGTCCCTCAAGGATCAGGAAAGCTGCCCAGGGTACCGGAAATGGGGTCTGTGCAGATCCTTCATCATACCACAGTGGATGAACCCTGAGTGTACTCTGCCCCGAGTTTTTATAACCTGAGCACAACTTGAATTGCTGAGCTCCAGCTTTTCAGAATATCCTGTTCTATAAGGGATAATGGCATAGTGTGGATTGTTTTTGGACAGTTCCTCCATATCTCAGGACATTACATTCTTGGTATATTCCACAGTTGTTCTTAGAACTATAATGAGAGAGCTGGGTCAGCCAATGCTACCTAAGGACCTGACCCCTGCTATATTTATATGCCATTATCTATATCTATATACCTATTAATTGTGTTTCTGTGGAATACCCTAAAACAGTGCTCAATAATGTAGTTTCAAGGAGAAAATAATGGCTAGTGCATGGACTGTTCTAGATGAGAATAAAACATATAAAAGGATGAAAAATAAATTATAGTTTCACATGAAGAGTCATTGTTGACATTTAAAAGAACATTTTCACAGGAATTTTGGTAATAGAAACTATATTTAAGTCTACTGAGAAACTTGCAAGATCTGAAGAAGAGAATTCAAGACATATGGAGAGCTCTCAGAATAAATTTAATAATGAAAGCACGGACAGAGATACAAGAGAAAAATAAGTGGGGGCGAATATGTATTTTCTTAGTTTTAGGTTGAAAAACATTTGGGATATTGGGAGAGAAACCAATAAAGTAAAGGAGGTCAAGAAACCAAAATAAAATAATTAACCAAGAAAGATTCTCAAAAAAGAGAAGGAACAATTAGACGGTGAAAAACAGATTGTGAAATACAACAATTAGTGCCATAAAAACATATATACATTTGTAGAAAGTTTTCATGATATATTAATAGTTTAATATAAAAAAGTCTGTCTATCTCTGTAGAAAATGAGCTAGAAAGATAGATAACACGTGTTCAGAATTCTTAGCTGTCTGTAGTTCATTTTGCTTTTCTTATTTGTGCTTCATTCATATATTCTAATTTTGTCTGCAACATAACAAAGGTACAAATAAATAATCAAATATCACTTGCAAACAAATAAAATTTAGGAGAGTATAGTAGCATAAAAAGGTAACATGATGTCTATGAAATGTTTTAAAAAATTTTAGAGTATTAAAAGCATTTGAGGAACTTTTAGTGGAAAGATGGATGGAGAATGAGCGTGGATGCAGGTAGATTTGTAGACCTACAGGGAGTTACATTTTGATCGTTTTCATTTTTTCTGTGAAGTAGGAGATAAGGTGGAAAGTGGGTATTTAAGCAGTATAGAGAGATTTTGAAACATTAATGGCTAATTTGAAATTATCTCGTTATTAAATAAATACAGTAGGTTGGTAGAAAATGGGCACAAATGAGAGTTAACATTTAGTAGGCCTGATTTAACATTGGAAAATTATCACATGATAGTGAGTGGTGAGTATGTAGCACAAAAGCTTATAGAATCTCAGATGCAAGAAAACAATTTTTATAAAGGAAGTCCTTGTGAACAGTGACATTTGACATGACCTATTCAGTAGAAGGAAGACTTAGATAAACAGACAAGTTGCTCTGAGGCTGAAAATGGTCTGACCCAAAGCAGGGCAGTCACAAGAAATGTTCAGTGGATCGTGAAGCATAAAATTTGGCTGAAGTAGCAGCACCAAAATAGATGAGTATTTCATAATAAGTTCTGTATTTTAAATTGCATTTGTTTGTACCACGCAGTTTCCGTGTACCACTGACTATTACTCAGAAAAAGAGAGCTATTTTAAGTACAAAGCACAGTAAAAGGTAAACATGTAAAACCAATCAGTGATATCCAAGTTAACCTCAAAGGTTCTTTTAATCATGCACTAGACAGTATTTAACTGTGTACAGCCTCCCTAACTAATTTCACAGGCAAAACCAATTCTTACTTTATAAATACTGCTGTTAAAACATATGCAAAAATAAAATATTCACTTTTAGGCAAGAAAGACACATTTTGGAAAGAATCAAGGATGTCTATGCACCTAACATTACTTACAACATTATTTTATAGAATAAAATGTATGACTTAACCAATGAACAAAATTAAGTCATTGTGTGAGAATTACATAATTTGAACTTGTTAGGCTTAATGTGAAATGGAAGGAATAGTGAAGGGAGAAAACCATATATTTCTGTAATATTTCATTGTCTCAGAATTGTTAAATAATACTGTCTCTTTGTGCTACTAGTTACTAAGGACTACCTTCATTCTGATTGTCCAATTTAATATAATACTAAAATATAAGAAAAAAGTGGTATTGAAAGTAACTTTGTCCTTCCTTCTTAGAGTTGGATTTTTTTTTCATTTCTAATGTAAAAAGTTCTTTGATCTGTGCCATGGAAATATCCACAGAAATACAATCGGTGTCAAAGCTAACCTTTCTCTCTATATAATTTCTTTGTCTTTCTCAACATAATTTTTAACTATTTTTGAATTTCAGCTCAAGTGAGAAAACATGTCTATGTAAATGAATGAAAATATTGGAGTTAAGAAAGTACGCAATGAAATATACTTTTAAAATGTTTCATTCTGATTAATAGGCTCAAATACAAAGTTTACATGTTTCCAAATGCTTTATTTTACATTGAAACATATTAGAATTCAAAATATTTAGTCATATTTTAAGCATGACAAAGGTAATAGCATGATTAGTATGGGGAAAACAATGATTCTTTAGTTTTTCTTATCGTTTTTAATACTATATTTCAGTAAATTACTTAATCTAATAAAGTGTCAGACACAGACACATACACACGCATGAAATACCATCTCTTAAATATAAATTTGAAATATTGGCATACGGAATGCTTATTTCTCTTTTCAATCTTCATTTTTATATCTGGGTTGAGTGGTATCTGAAAGTAACGTAATGCACGTTTAAATGATCTAATTTTTGTTTTAAGGGCCTTTACAAACTCTTCGCATATTATTGGAATTCCTTGACAGTTTTAAATCAGCTGCAATTGTATGAGGTAAGATAAATTTTTCAAAGGTTAAAAAGTTACTCAAGGTGAGCAGATCATCTGAGGTCAGGAGTTCAAGACCAGCCTGGCCAACATGGTGAAACCCTGTGTCTAATAAAAATACAAAAATTAGCCAGGTGTGGTCACAGATGCCTGTACTCTCAGCTACTCAGGAGGCTGAGGCAGGAGAATCATCTGAACCCGGGAGGTGGAGGTTGCAGTGAGCCAAGATACCGTCACTGCAATTTAGCCTGGGAGACAGAGCAAGACTCTGTCTCAAAAAAAGAAAAAAATTAGTAATAAGGAATGGTTGAATTATGACATAACTTACTAATATGAATTATCAACATAAACTGCATTTTATTTACATGTGTTTAATTCTTTAAAACATGACAAAAATATAATTTCTAGATTAATCTGTGGGTAGAGTGTAAAAATGAACTCCAGACAGAAGCAAGGTAGAGGACTAACAAGGTGCCAAGAGACCTTGCTGATATTAACAATCAGGAAAAAATATTCCGAGAGAAATGAAAAAGATGTTGGGATTGGGAAAACACAAAATGTGGGGAATCTGATTTTTGTTTTATTATGTTTGTGGACAGCAGAGAAACTATCCTGCTAAAGTCATCAATGAGATCATATGATGAATTGTTTCTAAGGGACAGAAAGTGAGCCTCTAATAGGAAGATATTTAATCAGCAATAAAAGAGTCTTAAGGAAAGATTAGGTGAGATTAGTCTACTACTAAGTTCATGAAAATGGTAGGAGGAGGAATACAGAAAATGACATTTTGCAGTTTCAGATAAGAGTCACTGATTCAAGGTTGCATTTGTCCTTTAGATTGATTATAATCCTCAACATAATAATATGTCCAATGGGCTATATATATGTGTGTGTTGATGTGTGATCTCTACCCATGATATCATCAAACCTAATCTCATTAAACAAGAATTAAAAAATATAAATAATGGTCATTTTAACCAGGGTATCACTGGATGAAAGCAAGGCAGCAGTAATATCAATAAATGACTTAGCTCAAATATAACTTCTTTGGAGACTTTCCAGATATCTCCCAGCCAGAAATACTTCCCCTCTGGGGAAATCATGTTTATTATAGTCTGAGTGTTCAAATATGTATTTATTATTTGATTAACATTTATATATGTGTGAAGAGATTGTATTTTAGTAATCCTTAATTCTCTCAGTGCCAAGCCTGGGGCCTTTATGTTATATGCTCAACATGTTATTAGTAAAACACAAGTTTTCATTGTTTTATATCTAATAAATAACTTTTGAATAATTTTATATATGCAAAAATATTTTATACTTTTGGAGATTTAGCAACTAAGAATTAGAGCACATGCAATCACCTAACATTTTACTAACATATAAGCAGAAATAGAGCTAGTTCTACACACATGCACACACACTCACAGAGAAGTGTCCGTGTGTGTGTGTGTGTGTGTGTGTGTGTGTGTGTATATATATATATATATTTGTTTTTTTTTTTTTCAGACAGTGTCTTGCTCTGTGGCCCAGATTTAGAGTCCAGTGGTACAACCACGTCCTGCAGCCTCAGCCTAGATCTGCTAGGCTCAAGCGATCCTCCCACCTCACCCTCCCAAATAACTGTGACTAAAGGCATGTGCTACCCCACTTGGCTAATTTTTTAAATTTTTGTAGAGATAGGGTCTCACTATGTTGCCCAAATTTGTCTCAAACTCCTGGGTTCAAGTGACCCTCCTGCTTCAGGCTCCCCAAATGCTGGGATTACAGGTGTGAGCCACCACACCCAGCCACATTTATACTTTTGAAGATACTTTTAAAAGTGATGAATGGAATAGAATAATGTTTATCTCAGATCTTATTATAAAATAAAGTCACGGCCAGGCTCAGTGGCTCACGCCTGTAATCCCAGCACTTTGGGAGGCTGAGGCAGGTGGATCATGAGGTCAGGAGATCGAGACCATCCTGGCTAACACGGTGAAACCCCGTCTCTACTAAAAATACAAAAAAAAAAAAAACAAAAAAAATTAGCCGGGCGTGGTGGTGGGCGCCTGTAATCCCAGCTACTCGGGAGACTGAGGCAGGAGAATGGCATGAACCTGGGAGGCGGAGCTTGCAGTGAGCCAAGATTGCGCCACTGCACTCCAGCCTTGGCGACAGAGCTAGACTCCATCACAAAAAAATAAAATAAAATAATAAAATAAAGTTACTGTATATCTTATAATATATACTTTTTGTTTCCATTTTTTAAAATGTTATAATCAATCAAGTTCTACATTCCACTCGTGATGATATTCTCTAAGAATTGCTAGTAGAAAAAATGAATAAAACTTAGAATTTGATAGCACAACAGAGGACTAAAGTTAATAATAACATAATTGTACATTTAAAAATAATGAAAAGAGCATAATTGGATTGTTTGTAACACACAAAAAAATGCTTGAGGGGATGGATACCCCACTCTCCATGATGTGATTATTATGCATTGCATGCCTTTGTCAAAACATCTCCTGTACCCCATAAATATGTACACTAACTACAAAAATTAAAAATTAAAAACATTGCTAAATGTTACATGTATTTGTGTAAGTGAGGCCTTGTTCCTGGAATTAATTATTTTAAAAAGAAAGAATTCTGTGCCAGTGTAAATAGCAAATAAAAAATTGTTAAATTCGTACATTTTGAATAAGGTATGTGAATCACTCCTGTTCATATCCTTCAAATTTCTGATTTGCAAGAATAAACTACTCAACACATTATTATGCAAAATATATGTTTTACATACTATATAAACATCCTACTTTCTGTTTATATATATATATACACACACATATATTCTACCGTAGAATATATACTAATATATATTAATTCTACTATAGAAACAATCAACTGACAATTTCTTACTACAAGTAAAATTACAACTTTAAATAAATTATACCAAGTTTTTGTGGCTGCTTTTAAAAATTGGAAGAGATTTTCTTGTAAATTTTGTGCTTTCTAATGCTTATGACATGATAATGCCAGCATGTAACATATTGGTAGGGTAAAGCTAATACGAATTTATACTCAATATATTTTGCCTCCGTCACACTTTATATGTGTCTAAAAAGTAAGCCTTATGAAGTGATGCCTTTCTTGTGGAGTGTCATTACGTTATCACTAATTGATTATACATAGTTTTGCCTTGAATTTCTAGGGCGAGTTCACGTGAGTGCTGTGGTAACTAATACTTGTTATCACCTTATTATGTACTGCATTTAGTGTTCCCAGTGTACTAGTGTTTGTTTTTAATGTAGTCAGTTAAGGGTTACTTATCATACATTTCTGAATAGTCTAAGTAAAAAGACCAAAATAAGAGGTTTTGAAAAGCAATTTGCCTCTCAGTTATAATGACTGAGAATATTAAATAATTAATATAGAATGAACTGATAGATACTATTTGTTTATCAAAGCCTTTTTTCCAAAGTAAAATCATTTAAAGATGGATAAAATGTGATTGTCACTAAAGTATTAACATTGATCTCTTCATTTCTCTGCCTTAAATTTATCTATGTATCTATGTATCTTATCTATGTATCTATCTATCATCTGTCTATCTATCTATCTATCTATCTATCTATCTATCTATCTATATCTAACCATCTATCTATGCCATTCTTACAGTCTAAATTTATTTGGACTTTTTCAGTATTCCACTTTAGAATGGCAAAAGTTCAAAAGTTTTTATCATCTAGTGCCCAACATAAAATTAGTATAACACTGAGTATAGTGAGGAATCACTTTTAAAAGATAATTCCATCAATATTATTTGCATTTCAGCAAGAATTTTAAAACAAGATTTCATGTTGAATACCAGCCTGATACACTAAGCTGTATCGGGGTCAAGTAAATGCCACTGCATTTAAAAAATGAACACGTAGTTGGAGAACAATGTTTCTGTAAGCTAGTCAGTAAAATAATCAGAACTCATTAAAGCTAAGTCATGATGAATTTAATATTTGAACCGTGAATATATATAAGTATTCTGGGAAGAAAATATGACTCAAGTGAAGAAAGAAAACTTACTTTTAACATTTGATTTTTTTTGCATTATTTTTATTTTTTATTGTGAATATGCATTTATGGTAAATTAACTTTTAAAAAAGATTCATAGATATAGGAATTTTAAAAATGGAAGTCTGAATGTGAGTCCATACGGCATTCTCCCCTTGTGTTTCATGAAAAACATTATCAAATAATTTTAAACAAATAGAGCATTGTTTATAAGACTTGAGAGACAATAATTTAAATGGAAAGAAGAATGATAAATCCTCAGAATAATCAAAGGAAATCATAATAATGCTTTGAACAGAAAACATAGGAAAGCAGTTAGGGAAATGATAAAAATATATTAACTCCTAAAATAGATTATGTCTAATAACACAAAAAGGATTCAATAATAGTTGAAATGTACTGTTGATTTTAAGATAGAAAAGGGTATAGCTTGTAATAGACAAAGATTGAGTTTGAATTAAACAATTCCTAATGAACAGTGAAAACAATAATAAATAATTCATACAATTAAACTTGTACTGCAAAATATTAATATAAAATGACAAAATGAGACTTAAATAGATAGTAAATCATTAGGACATTCCAGGATACAGAAAATTAAACAACAAGATAAAAATACTTCAAGAGGATCTACTTTAAAGTTAGAGATCCAAGATGTGTGTAAGTTCTCTCATGAACAGAAAAAACTGATGGAGAATCGAAAAAGGTAATACTAGAACTAATTTCCTCAGGGTAGAAGTCCTAAGATTTGCAATTGAGCCAGCTCATCACAGCCAAAAATCAACATTGAGGCATTTTCATATGCTTTAAAAATTGTGTGAAACTAAAATGTATTAAATTTTTAAAGCAATACAGAATTAGGACTGATTTGACTGTTTTCCTTAATTTAGAAAAACTCCAGAGAAATTGAACTGATATGAAACAATCATAGATAAAATATATTTCCAGTATCACGGACATACATTGCAATCCTTCTCAAGCCTAAGTTTTAAGACATATTTGAAATTAAATTCAAACTATGAAATCTAATGTCTAAGGAAAGTATTGTTCTGTTTGCTGTTAATCTTAAAACAAACTAGATAAACTAAACTACTGACAATGTAAATGAATGAGAATTCCAATGAATAATACACAAGTGATCAACGGTGAGAAAACATTAGGAAAATAACACAATACATTAGCTTTGGAAATCTAAAACATTGAGTTCTAGCATATATTAGATTTGGAATTCAAGCTGCTATTGTTTTCCTTCTTAAAATTTAAACAAAACTGATAATGATTTGATCAGATGCAAAGACAAATACTTAATTTAATATTTTATTTTGACCTTATTATTAAATATCACGTAATGTGCTTATGTTTTGTACAATTATTTAAGCATGTTTTTTTATGATAAGGTTACTTTTTTATGATAAAGGATAAAATAATTTTACAGTAAAACAAAAGCATTTAACACTGTTGCGGTGAATGTTACCATTTTTGAATCTTGGGAATGCAGGTTCATATGCAAATAGTTACCAAGAAAAGTAGCTAACTTGATGAGTAGGGAGCTGTTAGTGGAGTAACAAGATTGGCAAATAAGTGATTTTTTTTCAACAAATGTTGGATATTCTATAATATGTTATAAATTTCAAATATTGAATATGTATTTATTAACATCAATTAGTCACAGTCTATACATTAAAGTATAATAATGCATTATTAAAGTATATTAAGAATAACTTTTCAGAGTGAATTTTTTTATCACTATATGAGAAATTCTGTCCTAAACACTTTAGATGAATATATTCTTTTATTACACCAAACAGCAAAGTAAAATGGATAGGATTATACATTTTACAGATGAGGAAGCTGAGACACAAAAAACCTAAGAAAATTTTGCTAGTATTAATTAATTGGAATGTGGTAGAAGCTCATATTTTAGCCAGGGACACTGACTCCAGTGTCTTGAATATTAACTACTTTGCTAGATAGATTTCAAAACTAGTGAGATAATGTTTAAAAGTTGGTATAAGGATTTATTCCTACGGTTACTGAAATTGGTATGATACTCTGGCAACACCCCTACCATTAATAACATAAAAATTTATTTAAATTACCTCTATATTATAAAGCAATATTTCTTTCAGTGGAATTTATTTTTAGTAAATGACTATTTAAAAATTTACATGTATAAAAGGTAAAAATTTTTATGGAAAATTAGAAATGACCTGAGTTCCTTCTTTAGAAAAAGGGCATGTCTACTTTATGAACTATAATGTACTCATAATAAATGTGAGAATTTTTCAGCAGCAAATTAACTTGCTACCAAAAAGGAAAAAGGTAGAATTCAAATTGTTTGTAAACTATATTTTAACTATGTACAAAATTATATATATGGAAAAATAAATTTAGACATATCAATCAAACCACAGCTACATTTCAAACATCAATGATTATTAAATCCTAAGATCTTTTTCTAAGGTGTAACTTTTTTTAACTTTATTTTAAGTTTAGGGGTATATGTGCAGGTTTGTTACACAGATAAACGTGTGTCATGGGGGTTTGTTGTACAGATTATTTCACCACCCATGTATTAAGCCTAGTACCCATTAGTTATTTTTCTTGATTCTCTTCCTCCTCCTATCCTCCAGCCTCTGATAGGCCCCAGGGTATGTTATTCCCCTCTGTGTGTCCATGTGTTCTCATCATTTAGATCCCACTTATAAGTGAGAATTTGTGGTATTTGGTTTTTCTGTTTCTGGGTTGGTTTGATAAGAATAATGGCCTCCAGCTCCATTCATGCCCCTGTGAAACACATAATCTTGTTAATTTTTATGGCTGCATAGTATTCCATTGTGTATACATATCACATTTTCTTAATCCAGTCTATCATTGGTGGGTATTAGGTTGATTCTATGTTTTTGCTATCATGAATAGTGCTGTAATGAACATTTGCATGCATGTGTCTTTATAATAGAATGATTTATTATTCCTTTGGGTAAATACCCAGTAATGGGTTTGATGGATCAAATGATATTTCTATTTTTAGGTCTCTGAAGAATCTCCATACCATCTTCCACAATTGTTGAACTAATTTACACTTCCAGTAACAATGTGTAAGTGTTCCTTTTTCTCCACAACCTCATCAGCATGTTATTTTTTGATTTTTAATAATAGATTGTATTAGTCTGTTCTCACATTGCTAATAAAGACATACCTGAGACTGGGTAATTTATAAAGGAAAGAGACTCACAGTTCAGCATGGCTGGGTAGGCCTCAGGAAACTTACAATCATGTTGGAAGGGGGAGCAAACACATCCTTCTTCACATGGTGGCAGGAAGGAGAAGAACCAGCTAAGTAGGGGAAAGTCCCTTATAAAACCATCAGATCTCATGAGAACTCACTCACTATCATGAAAACAGCATGAGGGTAATCACCTCCATGATTCAATTACCTCCCACTGGGTCCCTCCTACAACACATTGTGGATTATAGGAACTATAATTCAAAATGAGATTTGTGGGGGAACACAGTCAAACCATATCATTCTGCCCTGGCCCCTCACAAACCTCACGTCCTCACATTTCAAAACACAATTATGCCCTTCCAACTTTCCCCCAAAGTCTTAACTCATTCCAGCATTAACTCAAAAGTCCAAGTCCAAAGTCTTATCTGAGACAAGGTAAGTCCCTTTTGCCTATGAGGCTGTAAAACCAAAAGCAAGTTAGTTACTTCCTAGATACAATGGAGGAACAGGCACTGGGTAAATACATTTTTTCCAAATGGGAAAAACTGGCCAAAATGAAGGGGCTACAGGCCCCATGTAAGTCCTATATCTAATAGGGCAGTCATTAAACCTTAAAGTTTCAAAATGATTTCCTTTGAATCCATGTATCACATCCAGGACATGTTGATGTCTTCAAGAGGCGGACTCCCATGGCCTTGGTCAGCTCTGACCCTGTGGTTCTGCAGGGTACAGCCTCCCTCCCACTGCTTTCATGACTGGCATTAAGTATCTCCAGCTTTTCCAGGAATACAGTGCAAGCTGTTGATAGATCTACCGTTCTGCGGCCTGGAGAATTATGGCACTCTTCTCACAGCTCCACTAGGTTGTGCCCCAGTGGAGACTCTGTGTGTAGACTCTGACCCCACATTTCCCTTCCACATTGCCCTAGAAGAGGTTCTCCATGAAGACTCTGCCCCTGCAGCAAACTACTTCCTAGACATCCAGGCATTTCCACACATCCTTTGAATTCTAGGCGGAGGTTCCCTAACCTTTATTCTTGGCTTCTGTGCACTTGCAGGACCAACAACACATGGAAGCTGCCAAGGCTTGGGGTTTACACCCTCTGAAGCAATGGCCTGAGCTGCACCTTGGACCTTTTTAGCCAAAGCTGAAGCAGCTGAGAGGCAAGGCCCCAAGTCTCAGGCTTCACACAGTAGGGGGCACCTGGACCTAGCCCAGGAAACTATTTTTCCCTTAATGGCATACCCTCCCATCACAGGCCCAGAAGCCTAGGACATAACCTGGAGGCATTTTCCCCTTTGTCTTGGTGATTAGATGCAGCACCCCCAGGGGGAACTTTGCCCCTCCCATTTGGGCACAACCACTGAAGACTTCCTCATCTTTGCCACATAAAAGCCCCAGAACACAGCCCCATTTCTGGCAACCCTCTTTGGGTCCCCTCTCTTTGCTGAGAACTTTTCTGTTGCTTAATAAAACTTTGCTCTACATTATTCCTTCTCTGGTGTCTGCGTGCTTTATTCTTCTTGGTCATGGGACAAGAACTTAGACCTAGTTGAACTGAGGAGCGATTAGGCTGCAACACTAATATCAACCAAAAAATTAGAGAACAAAGGGCAAACAGACCTCAAAGCTAGCAGAAGACAAGAAACAACCCAAATCAGAGCAGATCTGAAGGAGACGGAGACACAGTAAAACTACCCTAAGAACAATGAATCCAGGAGGTTGTTTTTTTAAAAAATTAATAAAATAGCTCACCAGCTAGACTAATAAAGAAGAAAAGAGAAGATTCAAATAAACACAATCAGAAATGATAAGGGAGATATTACCACCGACTCCACAGAAATACCAAACAACCATCAGAGAATATTATAAACACCTCTAGGCACATAAACTAGAAAATCTAGAAGAAATGGATAAATTTCTGGACACATACACCCTTCCAAGACTGAACCAGAAAGAAATTGAATCCCCACAAGACCAATAAAGAGTTCTGAAATTGAAGCAGTAATAAGTAGCCTACCAACTAAAAAAACCCCAGGACCAGATGGAATCACAGCTGAATTCTATCAAATGTACCAAGAGGAGTTGGTACCTTTCCTACAAACTATTCAAAAAAAATTTCAAAGGAGGGACTCCTCCCTAACTCAATCTATGAAGCCAGCAATATCCTAATACCAAAACCTGGCAGAGATACAACCAAAAAAAAGAAAACTTCAGGCCGATATCTATATTGTGTTATTTTACTTTTAATAGGAATTCTTCAGTATAAACTGGCAGCCTCTTTCTAGAAGACAACATAGCAATAATCATATGCTCTTTGACTCTTAATCCTTCTTCTAAAAGTTAAACTCAGTGTGCCTGAAGATTTACCTATATATATGTTCATAACAGAAATATTTGTTGCAATAAAACACTGGCAACAATTAAAAGCCATTAATAGATACAAATCCTGAGTCATCCCCATGATTTAAAACAAGCAGTCATGAGCATATAGTACAAAAATATTTAATGACATAGGACCTTGGCAAGAAATACTTTGATTAGTTGAATGGTGTTGATATCTTTTAGGTGAATTTATGGGTAATCTAATTTTTTAAGAGATCTTCTCCATTTGTGGTGATTAACATATAGGGTATTACTTTCATGTTTGCAAGAAACAAACACATGCTTATGTCTCAAAAGTCACTCTGCGAATGTTTATGTTACTATTAAATAATATATTTGTAGTCCTTTATTCTTATTTTCCTAGAAAATTGTATATTAGAAAAACTATAATTTTTTTTTTTTTACTTAATGGCAGGGTCTAAAATGCTATACTGAATTAAGTAATTATCTTTGTAGTTGGTCAAGCTATTCTTATTTTGATTTAAATTCCACTGAGGGAAATAGCAGCTAAAATATTCAGATATTGAGTAAGACATGCTGGTAACTATACCTTCACTTATTTAAACCATTCCTTAACTTTTGCAATACTTAAGAAATATGAGTAGTAATTATAGCTTTATATGGAGCCCTTCTAACTGAAAGTTGACATATATTTGTTTAATAAAAGCCTATTATTAGGGCTACAAACTGTACGTTTGTAGACTGTGAGCTAACAAAACAATTTAATCTCAAATACTTTAAACCTTTCTTCTTAGCAGTGCTGTAAATGAATTTTTAATAAAATTTGTGTTAAAAAATTAAGACCTTCTGAATTATAGTGTGTCATATTTTCAACATAGAGGAAATTGATATTGAGAACATTATATGAATACAAAATAAACATTTCTACCTACATTCTCAATTTATTTTATAATCAATTGTAAAGATAAGCTGCTAATTTCATGTAAATATATTTAGAATTCTCTAAATTTAAGCTTCTTTGAATGCTATTCTTAATTATATGCTTGTTATATTATAGTTTTATCACATTATCTATGAGCAGTGTTTAAAAGGCATTTTTCTATTCTAACTTTCAGACTGTCATTTTGGAAGCCAAGATAAGTTACATTTATATTACAATGTTTACATAAGTTCCAAGTTATGGAAGCTTTTAATATTCAAGGGCCATTTCTATGAACAGCTTTATGAAATGATATTACTTTAGCAATTGACTAGCACTGCAGCATTGTTTTCAAGGAAGCTGTCCTTGAAAGCCAATGTATTTTAAGAAGGTTAATTAAGGTCACATTTATAATAGAGTGGAATGGAATCTAGAATCAAACTAAGTAACTTTATATCAGACTAGGAAGTAGTTCCCTAAACAATAAATAAGGAAGGAGAGATGTAATGAGCAAATAACTTGCACCACGTATGTAGAAAGAAATGTCTACATATACAGAGACTCTAGCTGAGAAATCCTTTAGGTCTTTGTATGATCTTCCTAGGGCTGCTGTAATAAAGTAGATACAAATAGGGTGGGTTTACAAAGCAGAAATTTATTAGCTTACAGTTCTGGAGGCTAGAAGAACAAAATCAAAGTTTTCTCAGGGCTACACACCCTCTGAAAGCTATAGGGGAAATCCTTCCTTGTCTCTTTCTAACTTCCAGTGATCTGCAAGCAATCTTTAGCATTCCTTGACTTGAAGCCACATGACTCCAATCTTTGCCTTTGTTGCCACATGGCATTCTCCCTGTGTGTTTTCATATCTTCATAGGGAAGTATTCTTTTAAAGACACCAGTCATATTCGGTTAGGGACACACCCCATTAATTAACTCATGTTTACAAATTAAATCTACTACTAAGACACTGTTTTCAATGTCACATTCTAATTGAGATACTAGGGTTTAGAAATTCAACATATCTTTGCTGGAGGGACACAACTGAACCCCTAACAGTTTTGATGACTATTGTATGAAGTTCTTAGGAAAGAAAATTGTGAGTTATCTGTACTTGAATCTCTACAGAGTTCTACAAGTCAAGAAATTCTTGAGACCAAGACAGAAAGAGTTGTTTTATATAACAGATCTAGTATTGTGCAGCTTAAATAAATGGCAGTGTGTCAGAAAGTTTTACTGTCACTCACTACCTTAAGGATGGTCCTTATTCAAATGAAGGTGTGGAGTCTTTCTCATGCATGCAAAGAGAATTTGCATGTTAAGTCTAAGTTTTTATTAACAGAATGTTGCTCAGGTATAGGTTCTGCTGAGTAGAAATGTTTTCAGTATAAAATACTCTTCCTTCTACTTTTCTTCTCCAAGGTTTTGAATGAAACTTATTTGTAAGACTTAGATTGTGTGGTTATACATATTTACAGCACATTAAATAATTTTGGATAAAAATATGAAACCATATTTTGTTTCCTTTAAGGCTTCACCATTTCTTTTCTTTTTTCAGCTTCCCTAATTCCAAATTGCTTTATTTTCATCATTTTTCTATAGTCATTATTTTCATCATTTTGCTGTAGCCATTAAACTAAGGTAATATAATATTTCCACTCTTTCTTTCTATCACAATAGCATAACTCTACAAAAATTCACCGGGGGGAAAACAAAACAATTAGATTCACATTTGGACAATGTTTTCGTAAACATGGTATAAGGATGATCCTTTTGTAATTTTGCCTATATTTTCTTTCATATAGAAAAATCTACACATTTTGCATAATCAACCACTGTGAAATAAAGTAGGGCTACTTTAAAACTACCCCAGAATATGAGCAAAAATTATCTTTCAAAAGATTATCTTTAGAAAAATCTCCAATCCTAACATAGTACTTAGTTCCCAAATATTCACTATGTATCTAGTTACAGCAAACTTAGTGCTATTTGTCATGCAGTTATGCATTTTTAATAAGTTAACTGTGTAGAATGCTATGTGCCAAATACAGTTCCAACTATTTCTTAAGTGATAACTCATTTAATTCTTTTCTTATTTAATAATTCATTTAATTCTCACAAATATCAGAATGTGCTTCATATAGGAGAATTTATGAAGGCTATATTATAAAATAGCCTGATTTCAATTACTTATCTGACAGTTAAAATTCATGAAAAAGGCTTAAAATTATTGTATTGCTTTAAATATTTGACCGAAATCATTGGTGTGTTTATTTACAAGATTGTAATAAACATCAAAAATTGTTATAAATATATCATATGTGCAGGAATAAACCCATGGCCACATTTTAGTCTGTGTTGACATAATTCTATTTTATTATTATTTTTCATTTCAATAGGTTTTGGGAGAACAGGTGGTATTTGGTTCATTAATAACTTCTTTAGTGATTTCTGAGATTTTAGTGTACCCATCACCCCAACAGTGTACACTGTACCCAATGTGTAGTCTTTTATCCCTCACCCCTCTCCCACCCTTTTCCCTGAGTCCCCAAAGTCCATTGTGTCATTCTTATGCCTTTGCATCCTCATACCTTAGCTTCCACTTATGAGTAAGAATATGTGATGTTTGATTTTTCATTCCTGAGTTACTTCACTTAGGATAATGGTCTCCAATTCCATCCAGGTTGCTGCAAATGCCATTAATTTGTTCCTTTTTATGGCTGAGTAGTACTCCATGGTATACCATATTTTCTCTACCCACTTGTTGATTGATGGACATTTGGGCTGGTTCCATATTTTTGCAATTGCAAATTGTGCTGCTATAAACGTGTGTGTAGGTATCCTTTCGTATAATGACCTCTTTTCCTCTGGGTAGATAACAAGGAGTGAGACTGCTGGATCAAATGGTAAATTTACTTTTAGTTCTTTAAGGAATCTCCACATTGTTATTTATAGTGATTGTACTAGTTTACATTCCCATCAATAGTGTAGAAGTGTTCCCTTTTTACCATGCCAACATTTATTGTTTTTTAACCTTTTGATTATGGCCATTCTTGCAGAAGTGACGTGGTATTGCATTGTGATTTTGATCTGCATTTCCCTGATCATTAGTGATGTCGAGCATTTTTTCATGTTTGTTTGCCATTTGTGTATCTTCTTTTGAGGATTGTCTATTCATGTCCTTAGCCCACTTTTTGATGGGATTGTTTGTTTTGTTCTTGGTGTTTTGTTTGTGTTCCTTGCAGATTCTGGATATTAGTCTTTTGTTGGATGTATAGATTGTGACAGTTTCTACCACTCTTTGAGTCATCTCTTTGCTCTGCTGACTGTTTCTTTTGCTGTGCAAAACCTTAGTATGAGGATGCAAAGGCATGAGAATGATACAATGAGATCTGGGGACTCGGGGGAAAGGGTGGGGGGCGGTGTGAGGGATAAAAAACTGTAAATTGGGTACAGTGTACACTGCTCAGGTGATAGGTGCACCAAAATCTCAGAAATCACCACTAAAGAAATTGTTCATGTAACCAAACACCACCTGTTCCCCAAAAAACTATTGAAATAAAAAAAAGCAAAAAAAAAAAGTATTATTTGTGTAATACTAAAGGCATGAGAGGTTACTTCTGAGCAACTTAGAAATTGCAGTCAAAAATAAGATTTGCTCAAAATCTTAGTACCAAGAGAACAATGCTATTTACATTTTGACATACATACCTCTCATTTTGGTTTTCTGTATCTATTACACATCTCAAAGTCAGCTTGTAAAAACTGAATGCACCATTTCTGCATGAAAACTTATTGTTCTTTCAGAGGTCTCTATGGCCCCACATAATACTACCATTTACTAAAATACCTAGGGTTTAGGTTGTACAAAACATCTCTTTATCCCCTACTCTCTATTTCAATCAGTTAATATGTTGTCAATTCTATTTATAACCATATCTTCCAGGTCCTTTCATCTTTGTTTATTTCAATTATAGTTTTGCCAAATTTCTATTCAGTAACAATCTTTCCTGAAGTTAGACTAATCATCATTCTCATTCAGTCCCTATATGAACTTTTTATTTTTAAATTATAAAGTTCAAATTTCTTCATATACCTTACAATGGTTCTTTCAAAGGTATATATTTCCTTGAATTCTATTCAGCAAAATTTCTTATTAATAAAATTTTTGAAATTTTGCATTTGAGCCATGCTTGACTTTAATTGCCTTCCACGCATGTGGCTCTCTAACTTTTGAGCGCCGGCTTTTATGGTTCCTCCCAACATTTTGCCTCCATTACCACACTTAATATTTAGGACCTTTTCTTACCTACATTGATTCAGTGAAACATTTGTCAACTCATAGAATAACTTATGTTTCTCAGCCCTATATCTACAGATTTTGGTATTTCACTTGATGTGGACTCTTTCTTTACCACAATTTTTGGTGTAATGTATTTCTTCAAAGATAGCTTGAAAAAAATAATGACTGATATCTATCTTAATTATTCCTATATGCCCAGGAGAAAGCACAGTGTTTGGGGAAAAAATTAGTATCTGCAGATCTGATGAATGACTCAATGAATAATTTATTATCTCATTTTCCAACTTGAACATTTAAGAGGTTTATTCTATTTTACTATTCAAAAAGCATTGCATTAAACATTCTTGCAGTTACATGTCTACATATATTTACAATTATTATATGTAGACAAGTTTATTTAAGATAAATATTTTACTATGTGTACATATATAATTTCTACTACCTTTGTATGGTATGAAACAATTTCAATATATTGAAAGATTGATAAACATACATTATTGTTTTCTGATACACATCTGGACACATAATAAAGATATATATTTATAAAATTTGATAACTAAAAAACTATGTTCCATAATCATTTGGATTTGCTTCTTTTTAAATGTTGTTAAATATCTATTGTTGACTTTTTATTACAATTATGTTGAAACATGAACAGAGGGAATGTTTTTATTTATGTTTGTATTTTCCAGAGAACTTAGACTGTGCCTTGAAAATGATGGTTATAACGAGGGAGATAATAACTACTATTAATAATTGTACAGATGGGGTTTGCAGAACCAACACAATTCCATGTTTTCTATCTCCTGACTTTGTATGATTATAAAAAACAAAGTAGAGAAAAAATCAAATATTTTCTGTTTATCTTCTAAAAATCGATATCAGACAATTTCGCACTACTCCTTAAAGCAGCACAAAAGACAAATATTTTAGATTATATCTACCTGATTAAAAGGTTTTAATTGGAAATGTAACAATTCATAAAACATGCAATTTCTAAATACCCTAACTACCATACAGACATAATATTCAGATTTCTGCTGATTTTATTTTCGATTTCTTTTGCATAAACACAGCACTGGCCTGTATTGGAATATATATATTTCTAGCCTAAGCTAGAATTGCCTTGATTTGTGTTCAATGAATTGAGTGGTAAAGCCTCCAGCAGCATATCCTAAAATGCGAAGTTATATCCCATACCAAACTTTGAATGTATTACAGAAAGCATTGAATTACTTCTTGCTAGTTCCATGTCTGTGAAAAAAAAATTAATTGTACATTTAATTATCCAGCACTGCAAGGCAAAATATCAACTAGCATTAAATGACTTGAAGAACACAATCAACTTTGGCAAATGTTATCTGAAAGGAATTCAGCAAATATATTACTTCATCTAAAAATAATAAGAGAACTCTTATACTTTATTAAGTATTTATTATTGGCTATAGCTAATAGCAATCCATATTCCAAGACTACACTATTTATTATACCACTGCATTGTGCTACCCTTTATTATCAGAATTTTTAAAAATCCACATTTATTTGAAGTATAAAGGTATTAATACTATTTGGATGCCATTTTCCCCCAAATTCAATAGCATTTTTGTTTATATTTATTATTTTATCTGATCCTGTATTGGTTTCAAAAGACAAATGTTCCAATTTGCTATGGTCTGAATGTTTGTGTCCCTCCAAATTTCTTTTATTGAAATATAATCCCCAATGTGTTGGTATAAGAGGAGTGGCCTTTGTGAGGTGAGTAGGTCATGAAGGTGGAGCCCTTGTGGATGGGATTAGTTCCCTTACAAAAGAGCCCAAGGAAGTTTTTGTCCCTTTTGCCATGTGAGAACACATCAAAAGCTCCATCTTTGTAGAAGAAAGCAAGCCCTCACTAGACTCTGAATCTGCTCGTATCTTAGTCTTGAACTTCCTAGCCTACAGAACGGTTAGCAATAAATTTTTGTTGTTTATAAATTACCCAGTCTAAGGTATTTTGTTATAGCAAGACAGAATCCCAATTTATAGATGAAAAGACATGAGCTTTTAGGATCAAGCAGTCAATGGAAGTGTCAGAAATACCCACAACTTCCAACTATTTGTATAGTGATCTAGTGATCTATAATTGTGTCGTAGACACAATTCTGTTTTCTTCACTTGTTACCTATTAGCCTAAGCACATTAACCAACTCTGTATAAATTGTCATTTATGTAAAATTGTCAATGTATCTTTAGTAGTAAGAAAAAATATTTCAAACTTAAAATTATAACATGTAATTGCCAAAATTTCAAGGTATCATATTACTCAGTGTGCATTTAGTTTAGAATTTATATTAATAATAGTTATTGGGTTATTAATATAATTATTTCTCATGATTCATTTGACTTTTCAGTTTAGTTAAATCCTTCTGTCTTATCAACTAAGTTTTTTTTTTTTTTTTCAACTCCTGTAACTCTCATGGCAGTTTTTGTTTTCATGTTATGGAGTTTTGTTAAGTGTATCTATATCCAACACAAAACAGTAAGTGCTTCCTAGAATGGCTTCAATAAATAATTATTACATAATGAACAAATGAATGTAAATGAATAGTTGTGTGAACGTGTGGGTAAATGAAATTGGTATAGGGAGGAGCAACTGAAGGCATAAGGAGTTGAATTTAAAAAGATGCAACATAGAGGCATGATGACATTTGTCACATTGAAGCCTTCTGTGTCTCATGCGTTCTGTAAGTTTTAAGTGACAATGCAATATGAGGTAGGATATGAGACAAGAACAGAGACAGGAAACAGAGTATTGCATTAAGGGGTGGGCTGGATTTGGTTTCAAGTGCTGCTCTACAGAATCTATTCACTAGCTTAGTTCATTTATGTCACCGTTGGTAACTCGAAATGGGATATGATGAGATTAGTTTCACACTGAAAATAGACAAACACTATAAATTAGACTTTTTCCCCTCACTGCCAGGTGTTAAAACTTTTCCGGCACACTACTACATGACATGTTAAGAAATTTAGACCTTCCGCATTAAGGTGTTTTTGAAGTGTTAGAAAGAATGAAATAGCATTATCCAACTTAAATGTTAAAATGAGAAGATGATTCAAAGGGATATAAGTTTTGAGACAAGGAGACTAATTAGACAGATGAGAGATTAGAGTGGTAAAGTGGAATATGAACAGAGTGACAGAACAAATATAAATACATAACATTTTATTCTGCTAATGGTTTTAACATTTTATAGTATTGTACAATGATAAAGGCAGGTGTTTCAAAAACACTTAAAAATAGCATATTTTATATTTAAAATCATTTTACCTATGAAAATAAATCTGGACTTCCTAAGGATATTTTTCCTATTCCTATAATTTATTCTAGTTATTTTTTAAATTTCTAAATCAAAAATAAGAATTACTCATCAAAATTCACCTTTCTTAGTGAATTTTTATCAGACTATCTTATTTCACTCTTTAATGTTCCACATTACAACTTGCGAGCCATGAGTGGCACAGCATTCAGGTTATTGGAGGCTACCAGGACTTTGAACATTCAATATACAGTGAGGCAGAGAATTTTTCTAAAGCCTAATAAAGTAGTTGAGTCTACACAGAGCTGTGGTGTTATGGGTCTGTGAACCTGTCAGGAATATTGTGTCACTCTTAAATTATATTTAACCTTTTAAGGAAAAAGTAACAAACAAAAAACTCTTGTCAAGTGATATCATCCTTGAAGTACCTATTATTTGACATGAAATTACCATAGCTTTCATTATTTAAAATTAATAGAAAAAATAAAAAAATCCATGTAAGGATGAATTAACAGTTTGATACTATCATGGATACAGAAGTGCAATAAGAAGTATATTTTATTGTAAAATGCCAGTAGCATAAAAATTTAAAAAAAATATTTTCTGTATGTATAAAAGCATTTTCTGTATGTGTAATGAGTAAATGTATAATCCAAAGTCTTGCTTATAGAAACTTATTTTTAAGAACCTAAATATCCTTTTAAGATATTCTTCTGAGTCCTTATAAATATGTGTTATTAAAATTTATCTATTTGTTTTCAGAATATAATTCAGGGCAGGGTGGGTGGTGGCTCACACGTGTAATCCCAGAATTCTGGGAGGCCAAGGTAGGCAGATCACATGAGGTCAGGGGTACAAGACCAGCCTGGCCAACATGGTGAAACACTGTCTCTACTAAAAATACAAAAATTAGCTGGGTGTGGTGGCATGCACCTGTAGTACTAGCTACTCAGGAGGCTGAAGCAGGAGAATCTCTTGAACCCTGGAGGCAGAGGTTGCAGTGAGTGAAAATCGTGCCACAGCACTCCAGCCTGGGTGACAGAGTGAGACTCTGTCTTAAAAAGAAAAAAAGATTAATATAATTCAGTAACTGAGTAGGATTTCATTTTAGATAAGTTTTCACCATTTATTCCTATAAGGTATCTTAAATGTATGAAACATCCAAAACTCAAGGTACAACGGATGATACAATTAAATTTGTTTGTGTCATGTCTATTGTATTCCTGTTGTGCATCAGTAGAAAATTTGGAATTGATAAGTCTATTAAATTTCTTCAACATACTGTTAAAAGGATATTATTTAAAAACTTTGACATGTGCAATGATGTCATGACTTGAAACAATAAAATATGTATTTAAATAGGATTAAAAATTCTTAACTCTATATGTCCAGAAAAAGGAAAATCTACTTTAGGTGAAAAAAAAAAAGATCACAGAAACTTTGAGGGGAAAATATCTTTGAAAACATCTTTAGTTTCATTACCAATTTAAAAAGTTGATATATAATAATTGCATATTTATGGATTATGTGTGATATTTTGATACATATATACAAATTATAATGATCAAATCAGGGTATTTTTCATATTCATCATTTGAAAATTTTATTTTTATGTTGCCAACATTTCAAATCTTCACTGCTAGCTATTTTGAAATATACTATTAATTGTTGTTAATTATAATCACCCTGCTAGGTATTGAACAGTAGAAATTATTCCAGCTAACTGCCTTCTTCATTTTCCCCACCCCACCATTCTCCATATCTAGTAACTTTCATTCCACTCTCTACCTCCATGTGATCAACGTTTTAACTCCCATATGTGAGTGAGAACATGCGATATATGTATTTATGTGCCTGGTTTATTTTACTTAACATAATGCCATCCAGGTTCACCCATGTTGCTGAGAATTCCAGAATTTCATTTTATTTTAAATGATGGAATAGTATTTCATGGAGTAGATGTATCACATTTTCTTTATCCATTTTTCTGTTGATGGACACTTAAGCAATTCCATATCTTTCCTCTTGCGAAAGTGCTGCAGTAAACATAGGGGTACAGATATCCCTTTGATACACTGATTTCCTTTCCTTTGGATAAATACCAAGTACTGGGATTGCTGGATGGGATGGTAGTTCTATTTTTAGTTTTTGGAGAAAACCTCCATACTATAATACCTTTTATAATATATGTAACAGTTCACATTCCTGTCAACAGTGTATATGAGTCCTCTTTTCTCTGTATTCTTACCAGCATTTGTTATTTTTTTGCCTTTTTTATAATAGCCATTCTGACTGGGGCAAGATAATACCTCACTGTGGTTTTAATTTGCATTCCTCTGATGATTTATGATGCTGAGCATTTTTTCACATACCTGTTGATGTGAAAATGGTATTTGTATGTCTTCTTATGAAGACATATCTATTCAGATATTTCACCCACTGTTTAACACATTTGTGTGTGTGTTTATGTGTCTCTGTGTGTGTGTGTTTGTGTGTATGTTTGCTGTTGAGATGTTTGAGTTTCTTGTGTATTCTGGAAATCCGTTCCTTTTTGGATGAATAGGTATAAATATTTTCTACCATCTTATTCGTTGTTTCTTCACTCCTTTAATGGTATTCTTTGCTGTATAAAGCTTTTTAGTTTGGAGGGGCAGTTCCCAGATTGCTGAATAGGAACAGCTCCAGTCTACAGCTCCCAGTGTGAGCAACACAGAAGATAGGTGATTTCTGCATTTCCAACTGAGGTACCGGGTTCATCTCACTGGGGCTTGTCAGACAGTGGGTGCAGGACAGTGGGTGCAGAGAACCAAGAGTGAGCCAAAGCAGGGCGAGGCATCACCTCACCCAGGAAGCTCAAGGGGTCAGGGAATTCCCTTTCATAGCCAAGCAAAGCCGTGACAGATGGCACCTGGAAAATTGGGTCACTCCCACCCTAATAGTGCACTTTTCCAATGGTCTTAGAAAACGGCACACCAGGAGATTATATCCTGCGCCTGGCTTGAAGGGTCCCACGCCCACGGAGCCTCGCTCATTGCTAGCACAGCAGTCTGAGATCGAACTGCAAGGCGCCAGCAAGGCTGGGGGAGGGGCACCCGCCATTGCTGGGGCTTGAGTAGGTAAACAGAGCAGCCGGGAAGCTCAAACTGTGTGGAGCCCACTGCAGCTCAAGGAGGCCTGCCTGCCTCTTTAGACTCCACCTCTGGGGGCAGGGCATAGCTAAACAAAAGGCAGCAGAAGCCTCTGCAGACTTAAATGTTCCTGTCTGACAGATTTGAAGAGAGTAGTGGTTCTCCCAGCATGGAGTTTGAGATCTGAGAACAGACAGACTGCCTCCTCAAGTGGGTCCCTGAACCCTGAGTAGCCTATCTGGGAGGTACCCCCCAGTAGGGGCAGACTGACACCTCACACGGCTGGGTACCCCTCTGAGACGAAACCTCCAGAGGAATATTCAGACAGGAACATTTGCTGTTCAGCAATATTCGCTGTTCTGCAGCCTCTGCTTCTGATACCCAGGCAAACAGAGTCTGGAGTGGACCTCCAGCAAACTCCACCAGACCTGCAGCTGAGGGTCCTGACTGTTAGAATGAAAACTAACAAGCAGAAAGAACATCCACACCAAAACCCCATCTGTACGTCACCACCACCAAAGACCAAAGGTAGATAAAACCACAAAGTTGGGGAAAAAACAGAACAGAAAACTGAAAATTCTAAAAATCAGAGCACCTCTCCTCCTCCAAAGGAATGCAGCTTCTCACCAGCAATGGAACAAAGCTGGATGGAGAATGACTTTGACAAGTTGAGAGAAGAAGGCTTCAGATGATCGAACTTCTCCAAGCCAAAGGAGGAAGTTGGAACCCATCGCAAAGAAGTTAAAAACCTTGAAAAAAGATAAGATGAATGGCTAACTAGAATAACCAATGCCGGGAAGTCCTTAAAGGAGCTGATGAAGCGGAAAACCATGGCATGAGTACTACATGACGAATGCACAAGCTTCAGTAGCCGATTCGATCAACTGGAAGACAGGGTATCAGTGATGGAAGATCAAATGAATGAAATGAAGTGAGAAGAGAAGTTTAGAGAAAAAAGAATAAAAAGAAATGAACAAAGCCTCCAAGAAATATGGGACTATGTGAACAGACCAAATCTACATCTGATTGGTGTACCTGAAAGTGACAGGGAGAATAGAAGCAAGTTGGAAAACACTCTGCAGGATATTATCCAGGAGAACTTCCCCAACCTAGCAAGGCAAGCCAACATTCAAATTCAGGAAATACAGAGAACGCCACAAAGATACTCCTCGAGAAAAGCTACTCCAAGACACATAATTGTCAGATTCACCAAAGGTGAAATGAAGATAAAAATGTTAAGGGCAGCCAGAGAGAAAGGTTGGGTTACCCACAAAGTGAAGCCCATCAGAGTAATAGCTGATCTCTTGGCAGAAACTCTACAAGCCAGAAGAGAGTGGGAGCCAGTATTCAACAATCTTAAAGAAAAGAATTTTCAGCCCAGAATTTCATATCCAGCCAAACTAAGCTTCATAAGTGAAGGAGAAATAAAATCCTTTACAGACAAGCAAATGCTGAGAGATTTTGTCACCACCAGGCCTGCTCTACAAGAGCTCCTGAAGGAAGCACTAAACATGGAAAGGAACAACTGATACCAGCCACTGCAAAAACATACCAAATTTTAAAGACCATTGATGCTAAGAAGAAACTGCATCAACTAAAGAGCAAAATAACCAGCTAACATCATAATGACAGGATCAAATTCACACATAATAATATTAACTTTAAATGTAAATGGGATAAATGCTCCAATTAAAAGACACAGACTGGCAAATTGGATAAAGAGTCAAGACCCATCAGTGTGCTGTATTCAGGAAACCCATCTCACCTGCAGAGACACACATAGGCTCAAAATAAAGGGATGGAGGACGATCTACCAAGCAAATGGAAAACAAAGAAAGCCAGGGGTTGCAATCCTAGTCTCTGATAAAAGAGACTTTTAACCAACAAAGATCAAAAGAGAAAAAGAAGGCCATTACATAATGGTAAAGGGATCCATTCAACAAGAAAAGCTAACTATCCTAAATATATGCACCCAATACAGGAGCACCCAGATTCATAAACAAGTCCTTAGAGACCTGCAAAGAGACTTAGACTCCCACACCATAATAGTGGGAGACTTTAACACCCCACTGTCAACATTAGACAGATCAACGAGACAGAAAGTTAACAAGGATATCCAGGAATTGAATTCAGCTTTGCACCAAGCAGACCTAACAGACATCTACAGAACTCTCCACCCCAAATCAACAGAATATACTTTCTTCTCAGCACCACACCACACCTATTCCAAAATTGACCACATAGTTGGAAGTAAAGCACTCCTCAGCAAATGTAAAAGAACGGAAATTATAACAAACTGTCTCTCAGACCACAGTGCAATCAAACTAGAACTCAGGATTAAGAAACTCACTCAAAACTTCTCAACTACATGGAAACTGAACAACCTGCTCCTGAATGACTACTGGGTACATAACGAAATGAAGGCATAAATAAAGATGTTCTTTGAAACCAATGAGAACAAAGACACAACATACCAGAATCTCTGGGACACATTTAAAGCCGTGTGTAGAGGGAAATTTATAGCACTAAATGCCGACAAGAGAAAGCAGGAAAGATCTAAAATTGACACCCTAACATCACAATTAAAAGAACTAGAGAAGCAAGAGGAAATACATTTCAAAAGCTAGCAGAAGGCAAGAAATAACTAAGGTCAGAGCAGAACTGAAGGAGATAGACACACAAAAACCCTTCAAAAAATCAATGAATCCAGGAGCTGATTTTTTTGAAAAGATCAACAAAATTGACAGACCACTAGCAAGACTAATAAAGAAGAAAAGAGAGAAGAATCAAATAGATGCAATAAAAAATGATAAAAGGGGATATCACCACCGATCCCACAGAAATACAAACCACCATCGAGAATACTATAAACACCTCTACACAAATAAACTAGAAAATCTAGAAGAAATGGATAAATTCCTGGACACATACACTCTTCCAAGACTAAACAAGGAAGAAGTTGAATCTCTGAATAGACCAATAACAGGATCTGAAATTGAGGCAATAATTAATAGCTTACCAACCAAAAAAACTCCAGGACCAGACGGATTCACAGCCGAATTCTACCAGAGGTACAAGGAGGAGCTGGTACCATTCCTTCTGAAACTATTTCAATCAATAGAGAAAGAGAGAATCCTCCCTAACTCATTTTATGAGGCCAGCATCATCCTGATAACAAAGCCTGGCAGAGACAAAACAAAAAAAGAGAATTTTAGACCAATATCCCTGTTGAACATCAATGCAAAAATCCTCAGTAAAATACTGGCAAACCGAATCCAGCAGCACATCAAAAAGCTTATCCAGCATGATCAAGTGGGCTTCATCCCTGGGATGCAAGGCTGGCTCAACATTCTCAAATCAATAAATGTAATCCAGCATATAAACAGAACCAATGACAAAAACCACATGATTATCTCAATACATGCAGAAAAGCCTTCAACAAATTTCAACAGCCCTTCATGATAAAATCTTTCAATAAATTAGATATTGATGGGTGGTATCTCAAAATAATAAGAGCTATTTATGACAAACCCATAGCCAATGTCATACTGAATGGGCAAAAACTGGAAGCAGTCCCTTTGAAAACTGGCACAAGAGAAGGATGCCCTCTCTCACCACTCCTATTCAACATAGTGTTGGAAGTTTTTGCCAGGGCAATCAGGCAGGAAAAAGAAATAAAGGGTATTCAATTAGGAAAAGAGGAAGTCAAATTGTCCCTATTTGCAGATGGCATGATTGTATATCTAGAAAACCCCACTGTCTCAGCCCAAAATCTCCTTAAGCTGATAAGCAACTTCAGCAAAGTCTCAGGATACAAAATCAATGTGCAAAAAGCACAAGCATTCTTATACACCAATAACAGACAAACAGAGAGCCAAATCATGAGTGAACTCCCATTCACAATTGCTTCAAAGAGAATAAAATACCTAGGAATCCAAAGTACAAGGGATGTGAAGGACCTCTTCAAGGAGAACTACAAACCACTGCTCAACGAAATAAAAGAGGACACAAACAAATGGAAGAACATTCCATGCTCATGGATAGGAAGAATCAATATCGTGAAAATGGCCATACTGCCCAAGGTAATTTATAGATTCAATGCCATCCCCATCAAGCTACAAATGACTTTCTTCACAGAATTGGAAAAAACTACTTTAAAGTTCATATGGAACCAAAAAAGAGCCCACAATGCCAAGAAAATCCTAAGCAAAAAGAACAAAGCTGGAAGCATCACACTACCTGACTTCAAACTATACTACAAGGCTAAAGTAACCAAAACAGCATGGTACTGGTACCAAAACAGAGATATAGGCCAATGGAAGAGAACAGATCCCTCAGAAATAATACCACACATCTACAACTATCTGATCTTTGACAAACCTGACAAAAGCAAGAAATGGGGAAAGGATTCCCTAAAAAATGGTGCTGGGAAAACTGGCTAGCCATATGTAGAAAGCTGAAACTGTATCCCTTCCTTACACCTTATACAAAAATTAATTCAAGATGAATTAAAGACTTAAATGTTAAACCCAAAACCATAAAAACCCTAGAAGAAAACCTAGGCAATATCATTCAGGACATAGGCATTGGCAAGGACTTCATGTCTGAAACACCAAAAGCAATGGCAACAAAAGTCAAAATTGACAAATGGGATCTAATTAAACTAAAGAGCTTCTGCACAGCAAAAGAAACTACCATAGGAGTGAACAGGCAACCTACAGAATGGGAGAAAATTTTTGCAATCTACTCATCTGACAAAGGGCTAATATCCAGAATCCACAAAGAACTCAAACAAATTTACAAAAAACAAACAAACAACTCCATCAAAAAGTGGGCAAAGGATATGAACAGACACTTCTCAAAAGAAGACATTTATGAGGCCAACAGACACATGAAAAAATGCTCATCATCACTGGCCATCAGAGAAATGCAAATCAAAACCACAATGAGATACCATCTCACACCAATTAGAATGGCGATCATTAAAAAGTCAGGAAACAGCAGGTGCTGGAGAGGATGTGGAGAAATAGGAACACTTTTACACTGTTGGTGGGACTGTAAACTGTTTCAACCATTGTGGTAGTCAGTGTGGTGATTCCTCAGGGATCTGGAACTAGAAATGCCATTTGACCCAGCCATCCCATTACTGGGTATATACCCAAAGGAGTATAAATCATGCTTCTATAAAGACACATGCACACGTATGTTTATTGCAGCACAATTCATAATAGCAAAGACTTGGATCCAACCCAAATGTCCATCAGTGATAGACTGGATTAAGAAAATGTGGCACATATACACCATGGAATACTTTGCAGACATAAAAAAGGATGAGTTCATGTCCTTTGTAGGGACATGGATGAAGCTAGAAACCATCATTCTCAGCAAACTATCTCAAGGACACAAAACCGAACACCGCATGTTCTCACTCACAGATGGGAATTGAACAATGAGAACACTTGGACACAGGAAGAGGAACATCACACACTGGGGCCTGTTGTGGGGTGGGGGGAGTGGGGAAGGATAGATTTAGACCTAATGTAAATGACGAGTTAATGGGTGGAGCACACCAACATGGCACATGTATACATATGCAACGAACCTGCACGTTGTGCACATGTACCCTAGAACTTAAAGTATAATAAAAATATATATATATATAAAACAAAACAAAAAACAAACAACAAAAAAAGCTTTTTAGTTTAATATAGTCTCTTTTGTCTATTTTTGCTTTTGTTATCTGTGATTTTTTGGTCTTAACCATAAAATTGGTGCCTAGACCAATGTCCTAATCATTTCCCTGTTTTCTTCTAGTACTTTTATAGTTTCAGGTTTACATTTAAATCTTTAATCCATTTTAAGTTGAGATTTGTATATGGTGAGAGATAGGGGTCTAGTTTCATTCTTCTGCGTACAGGTACCCAGTTTTCCCAGTTCCATTTATTGATGAGGGTGCCCTTTCCCCAGTGTATGTTGTTAGCACGTTTGTTTAAAATGACTTGGTTGTAAGTGCATGGATTTATTTCTGGGTTCTCTATTCTGTTTCTTTGGTCTATATGTCTGTTTTATACCAATGTCAAGCTGTTTACTATAGCTTTATAGTATATTTTGAAGTCAGGTAGTGTAACATCTCTAGCTTTGTTCTATTTTCTTAGTATTACTTTTGTTATTTGGGGTCTTCTGTAGTCAAAACAATTTTAGAATTTTTTTTTCTTTCTGTAAATAAGGTCATTGGTCTTTTGATAAGGATTACATTGAATCTGTAGATTGCTTTGGGTAGTATGGTAATTTTAACAATACTAACGTTTCCAATCCATGAGCATGAGGCATCTTTTCATTTGTTTGTGCCTTCTTCAATTTATTTCATCAGTGTTTTGCAATTTTTCTAGTAGAGGTCTTTCACTTTCCAGGTTAAATTTATTTATTGATACCTTATTTTATTTTATTCTTGTAGCTATTGTAAGTGGGATTCCATTTTTAATTTATGTTTCAGCTAGCTAACATCATACTGAATGTGGAAAAGCTGAAAACATTTTCTCTAAGAAGTGAAACAACACAAGAGTGCCCACTTTCACTATTCTCATTTAACATAGTTTTGGAAGTTATAGTCAGAGCAATCAGGCAAGAGAAAGAAATAAAAGGCATTCAGATTGGAAAAGACAAAAACTAATTGTCCCTCTTTGCAGTCAACATGATCTAATATATAGAAAACTCTAAAGACTTAAGAAAGAAACCTTTAAAATTATGAACAACTTCAGTAAAGCTACAAGACAAAATAAACACACAAAAATCAGTAGTATCCATTATTTTTTGAGTATTTATCATTGTAAATATAAAGCATACATAATTTTAATTAATAAACAGAAAGAAACAGAAAATTATATTTTAAAAACTACCCAATTTTGTATCAACCAATGTCAACAACAGAAAACAATCTAGTATGCTCCTTTCGAATCCTTTTATCTACATATGTATGTACTTATTCAATCGTTCATTTATTTCTTTTGATGACTACTATAGTTTGGCCTTTGTATCCCCATAACTCATGTTGAAATTTGATACCAATTTTGGAAGCGGGGGCCTCATAGGAGGTGTTTGAGTGATGAGCAGATCTCTCATAAATAGATTAAGGTTTTCCCTGGGGATGGAGGGGAGAAGAATTCAAGCTCAAGTAGTTCCCATGAGAACCGGTTGGTAAAAAGAGCCTGGCACCTCTCCCATCTCTCTTCCTTTCTCTCTTGTGCCCCTTCACCTTGACCATGAGTGGAAGCAGCCTGAGACGCTCACATTAAGCAGAAGCTGGCAAGCTGGCACCATGCTTCTGGTAGAGACAGCAAAACTGGGCCAAATAAATTTCTTTTCTCTGTAAATTACCCAACCTCAGGTATTCCTTTATATCAGGACTATGACAATGACCATGTTGTTTCAGTTCTTAACATGATACATTCATATTCTGTGAAGGTTTGAATTCATACCATATTTTACTTTATAAATACAAATCTTTCTTGTTATTGTAGATGATATGAGTGATTTAACTGAGCTTTTAATTTTCAACTTCCCATTAAGTATGATATTGGCTGTCTTTTAAAAATAATCTTTAACTTTGTAAAAAAAGATTTTGATTGACTTTTCAAATGTTTTAGTTGAATGAGTAATTCATATATTCAAACGTCTTCACTACGTCTATTTGATATTTAGTTAGGAGGCATCATATGTAAGTAGTTTTGTATTTATGGGATAAATCCTATTTTGTTATAGTATGTAGTCTTATAATTAAGAATTGTATGTGTTGCCATTTAATTTGTTATACTGGTATCAATGTTATTGATTTCCCTAAGTCTTAGTCATTGAAATGTAATCTATATACTAACTTCCTATTTGTAAGCAACCCGAGGTAATGCAGCCTAATTATAAGGCAACCTGAGGTAATACAGAATTTATCATAAAGTTATTCCGTGAACTACACCCTGAAACTTGATCATTGCAACTGTCAGCTAAACCAGGTTACTATTGCTTTTAAGTGTCCATAATACATACCTTGAATTTAATGCTGTTATATTATTTTATACCTATAATTTTATAGCTAGATTTTATGTTTTGTTTTACTTGTTTGCTCTATGTTAAGATTTATGTATAGATTTTAAAATTAACTGAGTGGCATTGTATAATTTTCTAGCTAAAAGTCAACTCCTGTATAAATCTGTTAGTTATTTTAAGGATTTTGAATTTTATTCTATGTAATGTAGAAAGGAAATGAAGGGTTTTAAGGCAGAGGAGTGACATAATGACTGTGGCTGTAAGCTTGAGAATAAAATGTAGGAGGAGAAAATGTGGAGTTAGGGTGACAAGTTAGGATGCTAATGCAGTAATTTTGGGGACAGATAGTATCTTTGAGCAGGTGAAAGTGAGTAGAATTGAGTAGAAATAATTGAAGTAATTAGTTTCTGAATATATTTTGAAGGTAGAGTTAACAGGATTTATTGACAGATTCTAGGTATGCTGTGAGAAAAGGAGATAAATCAAGTATGTTTTCACATTTATTGCCTTGAACATCTGCAAAGACAGAGTTCCCTGAGGTGGCCAAAACTGCAGGAATAGGACATTTTGGGCATGAGTTCATGACACATTAAATATGAAATGTCTGGTAGTGAAAATAGCATATGTTATCTATGATAATAGCTGTCAATTTGAAATAATTTTTACCAAATTGAGCATATTTGACATTTTTAAGAGTTTCTTTAATCAGAAATTGGTAATTTATAATTTTATGTATGATAAAATGAGAAATATAGACTTCTTACTCTTGTTCAGATACAAAAATTTTAAACATATTTCTAAAACAGAAAATTGAATATGAAGTTATATATATAATTTGAACATAGTGTAGGACTCCGGGTTGTAGGCACAAATGTGGTAGTCATTTACATACATGCAGATGGCATTTAAAGGCAAGAACCTGAATAAGATAACCAAATGAGTGAATATGAACAGAAGTCAGGAGTGGATAAGGAGCTGAGCCCTAATGTCTTTCAAAATTAAGAAATCAGAAAGAAAAGGGGAAAACCAGTCAGAGACTGAAGAGAGGTAATAAATAAGGTAGTAGGAGAATCAATAGGATATGATGACTTGGAATCCAAGTCAATAATGTATTTCAAGAAGGAAGTAAGAGTTCATATTTGTAAAATTCTACCTATAGGTAAGGTAATATAAAGATTGAGAAGTTACCATTTGATTTAGCAACATGAAGGTTAACAAGAACAGCTTTGCGTTGAGCAGTGGGAGCAAAAAGCCCACTGGCATAGATTTATGAAAGAATTGGAGGAAGGGAGTTAGAAACAGCAAGAGTATATTCTTTAGAGTTTTACACTGGTGAGTACCATTCACGTAAAATGAAACAAGAATTGTGACTTATGGAATGGTTACATGCAGTGTTATTAGCAGCTAGATGTTGTGATGATGGGAGTCTGTAGAAATTCTTTGTTGACTTTGTCCAGCTAAGCAAGAAATAAGTTCATCAGCTAGAAGTGGGAATGAAGAAGAAGGGGTTGTTAGTGAGAGAAGTGAAGAGAATGTGTGAAATCGTCATTTAGAAGATTTGGACAAGAGAAATATTGAGTAATTTTAATGCGGCATTAATGAGGCTAGTAAGCATAAATTTAAAGGAATGTTACCCAGTATTTTGGAGTGTGTTCTTCTAGATACATTAGATGGCATAAGTAGAAGCATGGAGTGAACAAACATTTGAATTTAACACATAAAAAAGACATGACAAGGGCAAGAAAATTGATGATGTATACAAAGGAGTAATTATGATGACTGACAATAAAATTTAAACCAAGTAAAGAAGGAAGGTAGGATAAATATGGAGTGAAGGACAATGAAAACCTAGTAGAATCCATGGATTGGAGGTATTCGTGAAAATGAAGAATAAATGTACTTGGGATACTACGGAGAGCGAACTGAAATAAACTGAAATGAAAGAAGATGCTGGTTAGACAAAAGGATCCATTACATTTAAATTAAAGAGGGGCTGTAGTTTGTGATAATGATGACATCTAGCAAATGACCATAGCAGAGAGAAGCTGCGGTACGTAGAGAAAATAATGTTAGAAGAGAAGAATTAAAGACACTGAGATACTTGAATTTCCAAAGTATCATCTAACTATAGAGTGAAATTCCCAAAAATAAGACAAGGGTAGCTTTGAAGAGACTAAAAATACACTTGGTGGGATAACTGAAATGAAGGGGGACTTGCACATGAATCAGATGAGAACAGCAGGGGTGTTGTAGATATTTAAACTAATACCATGAGACACATTGCTGAAAGTTTTAGGAAGGAGGGAAAGAGAAAGTGCTGGAAGTTACAATGAGGAACAAGACAAAGAAATACTTAACTTCCTTGCCTACTGATGTAAAGCTTGTTGGAGAAAATAATATTACCAATTTAGAGAGCTACAGAAGAAGCTGTGTTCTCTTGTTAAACATTGCCCTCCAATAGGTCAAAGTTAGAGAAGAGAGAAGAGACGGAGAGGATTTTAATGTTGAGGGACTGTAGGACCAATGAGATGATTTCAGAAGTTGGAGAGACATGAAAGTAGGATTAGAATAGAGAATATACAGAACCTTATGGCAACCCAAGATGAAGAGTGACCTGGGACTTTTGGACCTTGATAAAAGCAGGGATAAAGAGTATAAAGAGATCAGGATGTCACATGAACCTATTCTTGGAAGAGACTCGGCATGTTTTAGAGCCATATGGTATGTGAGGCTCACCCTTGACCCATGTTGAAAGTTGACTAACATACACATCTGTTGTAATGGAGTGGAGGATATTTCTAGGAGGCACTTGTCTTTCAAGACTTGGGGGGGTGGTATTTTCTTTATCCTGTACTAGATATTTTACAATGCACTTTAATTATTGGTTCAAATGTAATAATGTTGCTTTCAATTGCTTTGTATTGAAATTGTAAAGCTTTGATACTACATGGTATGTTGCTGTATTACAGCTAAAGGGCTTAAATATGTTGTCATTGTCAGTAATTGGTTTTAAAATTATTTGAAAATAATCACTGAAAATTTGGGGATTGCCTATACATCATTTCCCTGTGGAGAAATATGTGCATACTGAAAAATCATGTTTAAATAAAAATGTCATTCAGAATTAATGATATATGTTATTATTATTAGGTGTGCATTTTTCATATATACAATGTTAGATGTCATCCTTTTTCTCCTCAAAAATGTTGCACAAAAGAGATATTCTGCAAAATGCAATGTTAGAGTGTAATAAAGACTATAAGATTTTGATTTTTAAGAATCAGTAATTTAGACATTCAACTCTCATTAATAATTCATATGAAACCTTGCTCTTGCCTATGAAAAGTAATTATATATAATTCCCTATAATATGAATGTATGGAATACAGGTTTATGAATGGTAATTTGTTATCCAAATTTGATTGCAGAATTTTATGATTTTTTACCAAGAATAAAAATGTCAAAGAGGAAACTCTTTAGGAGCCCAATGCAATAGACAGAACAAATCACTTTTTTTCCAAAATGATATCAAACAAAACTTTTTGAGAAATTCAATTTCTTTAACATCATCAAAATATATATTACCACTTCTTTGAATTTTCATGTTTCATCCAGGAATAGAGCTAAAATGTCATTTCTCATCTTTCTTTGACATCCTAGGCAGATACATGCTTGGATGAATTCCACAGGCTTCTTACAAAATGGAAAGTTGATCCAATGGTTCTGAATTTATCTTCCCTTTTACTTTCACATACACAGACACATGCACTCAAGACAAGACAGTTTTATAATGACTGGAAATATTTCTTTTAAAAAACTGATTTTATTCCTCTGATAAATTATTGGTTGACTCTATTTACAACTTACTTTTTAAGTAATATATGGGATAGATTACATATATGCATGTATATACATATATATGAATTTTAAGTAACAGGATATATTTTCTGAATAAATCAAGTAGATTATTTTATATAGTTTAGTCTTACAGTTTTATTAATAATTATAATTTCCTTTCACAAGTTTTCCTGTTAATTCTTCACTATGCATATTAAATTTTTATGTTTTTGAATTTAATAGTTAAATATATTTTGCTATTTTCCATGATGAGAGTAATAATTATTTGCAATCAATTTTAAATATTATAATTAATATTTTCACTGTGCTTTCCATGCCTTGAAAGCCACATTTGCTTGTTTTGTGAAGGTTACTGCACAATTTCATTAAATAAGTTAATACATATTTAGAATATACTTATAATGTCTGTCATTGGTATTTAAAAATATTATGTACAGTGATTACTCACTGGATGTTCAGACATGACAAAAATCATTGAAATGTAACACACTAAAATATTAAGAAAATATCTATCTTAAAGTACATTGTTACAGTGATGGCTAACAAAAAGTATTGTAATCTGGGGATTAAATTCATAATTAATGTGTCCAATGAAATCTCACTAGAAATACAAAAGAATGACGTGTGTATTTGTTCAATTGTTACACTGTTCCTACTCCTGAGAGGTTTTTAATGCATAAGTTAACCATATCTTAATTAAACTAAGAGAACCCTAGTTAAGATTTAGTTTATCTTGTTAATTGACTGTAAATTTTCTATGTCAGAAATGTGATAGGTTTACAAGGTGTTTTTAGTAAAGATCATGCCACCTCATGAAGCCCTCTCTTTGCAAATACATTTATTTACAGGTAGCTATTTTTAAATATAATATATTTCAAGGAACTTGCATTAGGTACATTTCCGAAATAGAAAAGACCATTGGGATACCCATTTATTATTCAGCAGGTTGGAGGAGGGCAGTGGTTGGGGGAAAAACAATAGGGCCTAGAAAGTTTAAGTGACATAGAAAGTCACGTGGTTGGTGGCAAAGCAAGTGTTAGCTCATAGCTGTCCTAACATGAGCTCTAGGCGCCTCTCCAGTCTATCACAAGACTTCAGGGAATGTAAAGTATAAACACACCATACATGTTTTGTTAATTAAATTTATGTTCTTCAAACATGACATTCTCTATGAGTCTCATTTTTGTCAGTTTAAAACTGAGGAATTGAGACTTCATAATTATCAGACTTAGAATGCATCGGATTTTCCATGCTAAGAACAGTTTAATTTCAGATTTCAGTTTTATTGATATTAAGAAAAATTATCAATGCAACTTAGAACTTTAAAACCACTTTTTTCAGAAAAAGGAAATTATTAACTTATCAAACACATCTAAAAATAATTTGAATTATAATAAAAAATCAAAGGTAATCAGGAAAATTCTTGGAGAACTGACAAGTGACACAGTAATAACTACAATGAAATAAGAAAACATAGCTTTTAGAATTATAAAGGAAATTTATGAACAAACAATATTTAAGTGGTTGATACGAAAAAGGAAAACCAAACCTTTGAAATAGAAAGAAAATTTTCAAACTTGTGCAAGTAAATTATAGGACAAATTGACAAAGAGTTATTTATAGGTACATCTCAACTTACTACGTTAATTGGCCAAAGGAAGTAAACACACAAACACACGTTTATGCACACACATATAAACACACTCACACACAGGCACTTTGTCTAGATTGTTCTTTCTATAAAAACAAGAACTGAAACGAACTATTTTTATATTTTTAAAGAGCATTTTTGTACTTTGATTTAATTGGGAAGATTATTAAACATCTCAAAGTTTGATAACAAAATTAGAATTTAAAAAAAGCTTGTGTAAAACAAAAAAGCATAAACATATCTGTGTGAACATTTTAGGAGCCAGAGTCAGGAGAAATGTGGGGATTGACTATGGAATAGTAGGGAAATTTTATGGGACAATGAAAATGTTCTATATCTTAATTGAGATCATGATTAAATTTACACCTTATTAAAAAATAGAAATGTACACTAAAAAGGATGGATTTTATTACATATAAATTATTCATTAATTAACCTAGATTAAGAAAAACTGAAAATTTTGGTCTTATATATATTTACACAATTATTACATTTTTAATGGTACTTTATAAAATGAAATTATGGAGTTTTCTAATTTCTGAAGTTACTATAGAAATCATGCAAATACATGTATAGTATACATGTGTAACTAACCTGCACATTGTGCACATGTACCCTAAAACTTAAAGTATAATAATAATAAAATTAAAAATAAAATAAAAAATAAAAAATAAAAAACAAACAAAAAAGAAATCATGTAAATAAAATTTCTAAAGTACTTTTAATTGATTAATGAGATGTCCAAAGTGAACAAATATTCACATTTATTTTTGAAGAAATTTTCTGTCTTTTTTGAACTCAGTTGCAAGATTATTTTAATTGACATTATTTTTCCTTTAGCTTTTTACCCTTTCTAGGAATTACTATCACTTACCTCCCTCCCTGTCTCTCTCTCTCGCTCTCACTGATGCTCTCTGTCTCTCAATGGTCTGTTTTTAGAACGCAAATTCTCATCTGTAGATTCTCTTCTTATTTGTTGCGTTTTGACTTCTGATATGACTTTTTCATGTTTGACATTTGTAATCTTCACTTAGAACAGTAAATAATCTACCCTCTGTGAAAATTCTCTTCTTTTTCAGAACTATTAGAACATTTCTTTAGACATTAATTTTTATCTTCCAAATAATAAACATTAGTGTTTATATGCCAAATCATGAGAGAGAAAAAATTGTTTAGCGAGTTGCGTGAGAGGACAAAATACAGATAATATGCACATTATCTTTTTAACTGTTTCAGGTACATGTATGACTTCTACCAATATCTTGATTAAATTCCACCTCAGATGAGGTAAGTTTGAAGAGTATGACATGCAAATAATGAAGAAATCATGGAAAAAACAAATATAAATAATTCACAATAATAAATTGCCATTAATGTTTTTGTTCAAACAATAACAAAAAGCAAACATGATATTTTCAAAATTGAAATGAAGTAAATGATGTGGGGGCTCTATGATTAGTTTGCTGGTGTGAAATCTCTTTCAAATGTGTAATATCAGTAAGAACTAGAAAAAAATATGACAACATTCCCTAATTTCTATATGTAGAAAATGAATAAATGATAATGTTTTTAAAGCTATAAAAAGAAAATGCAAGGAATCATGCAGTTAAAACTTACCTTCAAGTTCCTTTCAATGTATGTGAATAGGATTTTTCTCAAGCTCTTATTATTATCCCTATTATTTCATAAATTGGTAGAGTGGCAAATTATTGAAAGGGTCTGCATATTAAGAGAGAACACAATTAAATCATTTGTTACCTCTCTTAAATGCATGTACATAACACCAATTTGCTACTTCAGTTAGTGATTAGAGTGAACAGCCAGACTTCACAGAAAACTCTTGATAGACAGAATTTTTTTTAACCAATGAACAGCCTTGCTATTGATAGAACATCATAGCATCTTCTTGTCGCAATTATCTTTTGGACAAAGTATTTACCTGAGACAAAAATGGCATCTCAGATGCTAACAAAAACATATTTGTTTATATGCATAATGTAAATGTGACTATTTTAAATATAGTCTCAAATCCAGATTTCACATTCAGAAAAGGCAAGTATGGGACTCATCAGGTCACAAAGTTTACAAAGTAAGGAACAAAAAATCACAGAAATGCGCTAATTGATTTTATTGTATTCTGTATTTATTTTGCATTTATACTGATCTTATTTTACTTCATGTATATTCATTTTTCTCCCTGAAAAAGAGGGTGATAAAGTATAAAACTTTTAAGTATAGTAGATCTTTCAAATTAGCTGTTTTCTACCTTATTAGTAAATCATAAAAATGTATGAATTTAAAAATCAGCAAATAATGATTTTCTGTTTTTACAGGGAAAATATCTTATGTCTTTTATGCTTGCAAGTAGCAGAGTTTCTGGGATTCAGTAGGGCTTAATAAATTTTTGTTGATTCATAATTAGCTCAAGGGAAAACAAAACAAGGAAAAATGTTTAATCAATTCTAATGAATAATTAGGTTTACTCTTCCAGTAGGATAAATTCCTTGAAGTTAAAAAATGGCATCTTTGTTGTGTATTTTGTAGCATCTCCTCCAAGGCTTAAGGTAAAACAGATTGTAAAAAAAGATTTTAGGAATAATGGGTCAATAAATTATTTAGAAAAATAAATGTTAATGCAGGGTATAATTGCAACCAGAAAATACTATAGGGAGATATATGGAACCTCTACTCCTGTAAAGTTTAAACACAATCTATCTTAAGTAATGTATCTGATGGAAGCAGTCACATGTATATTTTAAATCTACATTTCTATTATGAATATTCATTGAAAAAATACAGTCAACCAATATTCCCATCAACAAAAAGGGCTGCCCTTCACATGAATAACCAGATAAAATTACCCTTTCTGAAGAAAAGGTAAGGGCTTTCAGGAGAAAGGAAGTTCTATGAAAGTAAACTATTATTACCTTCTATAGATGTGACACTGTCCAACAAACTTTAAGAACAAGAAATAAATATACACTTCTAAAGGTGTAACAGCACCTTTATCTGGGATAAAGGCTTGGTTGTGTGCACAGATGGGTACAGATATCTAGGACAGACTGCCCAGGAGTGACAGAGCCAAGAAGAAATAGCTTCTCCATTTTACAACAAAGTTGGCAGACAAACTGAGTAATTATCCAGTGAATGTAACATCACAGTGGAAATTGGCTGTTTTTCTTTGTTTTGTTTATTGATGTGTTCTCTGCCTAGACATCGTTAAAAATGGAAGTCAGAAATAGTAAAATAAATATGATGACTACTCAAGGATATAGATTTAGGAAAGAAAACAAATATCATCCTGTTTTGTCAACATGATTCTCTTTTAGTCTTGTTCTTTTGGGTCTTATTATATCCTTCTTCATTTAGTAACATAGTTTATCGGAAGCTAGGGTAGACTATTTAATTTTATGTAAAAATAAAATCTCTCTTACTATACACCTGCCTATGGTTTTAAATATTTTTATCTTTGACAAATTGGAAAAACTGAATAGTAATAAGGAAACAAAATTTTAAAAAGATACAGACCACACTTTTTAATAGAAATTTCCTTTTCTCTTGAATAGAATAGTCTGAATAGGCCAGGCGCAGGGGCTCATGCCTGTAATCCCAGCATTTTGAGAGGCTGAGGCGGGCGGATCACCTGAGGTTGGGAGTTCAAGACCAGCCTGACCAAGATGGAGAAACCCCGTCTCTATTACAAATACAAAATTAGCTGGGCATGGTGGCACATGCCTATAATCCCAGCTACTTGGGAGGCTGAGGCAGGAGAATCTCTTGAACCCAGGAGGTGGAGGTTGTGTTGAGCCAACATCGGGCCATTGCACTCCAGCCTGGGCAACAAGAGCAAAACTCCATCTCAAAAAAAAAAAAAAAAAAAAAGAATTGTCTGAACAATTTGCAAAGAAAACGTAAGAAAAAATGTCAGCTATAGTAAAAACTTAATTAATCAACACAATGTAGCAACTCACTTATGCTCACTTTCCAAAAAGCACTGGTGGGTGTCCCCCAAAATGACCTTTAGCCATTTATCTCTTATCTGATTTCTTGATTTTTACTTTTTCTTACTCAACTTCATAAAATTTTCCAGTTATTTTGTGTCTTGTAATCATAATGCAAACATTTGGAAACCTTAGCTAGCATAGACATCCACCAATTTAATAACAATAACTGAGCAATATTCACTTGATTTTTCAATAAAACATATTTTTAATTACAAACATATTAATCATACCCTACTCTGGTAAAGGACCAAACCAGATAAAATTATCATAATACAACCTGATATCCTATTTAATAACAAAACTATTAAAATCATTTAGGTTTAGATACTGTATAAGCTACTATAGTTTTTAGAAGTTTATTTAAGCAATTTCTGACATGAGATACAGTAGAGAGCTAGCCTCTTGATATGCTAAGTGTCAAACTTGATTTAAATTTTCTAGAAGTGCTACATTCTTTGATCATGTGAAGATCCTTAATACAAAGCAATTTAACAAAATTGCAATTGAAATAAAAAATATCGTATCGTTTGTGAAATTTTGCATATATTTTTATATCATACATATAGTGAAATTCCCAGCACATGCTTGTTTAATAATACTATTTATTTTATTTATTCAGATACTTTTTAAAATTAAATTAATCCTTGTATTACTCACTTTTATTTATACGTATGTGTATAAATAGGTTCAAGTAACAATTTATTCAAATATAAAATATAAAGGTAGGCACAACAAGAATTTAAAGACCTAAATCATATTAAAGATAGTGAAAAATTAAAAATCTAGCCTCAGATTCTATATAGACTTGTTTTCTGGCTATTATTAACTTCTAACTTTACTTGATCCCATGTCCTATGTGGGTTTAAGCTCCTTGTGTACTAGATTTTGCCTTGTACAAAAAAGAATTAATAATCCATAGCATATTAATAATTATAAATGAATAAAGATATATAAAATATGGATATAATATATACTTGGATACATATGTAAAGTATATATAATTTGTACATAAGTAGTTGTATATGTATTGTTATACGGATAGCAAATAAATGGACACTGCTTAGTATGTTAGGCTGCCATCAAGCCTATTACACTGAAACTCCTAATGAACCTGATAATATCATGAGAAAAAAAAATAGAAAAACATATTTATAACACAGTAAGATATTCTTTAAATGGTGCTGATTCAGCTATTCATCGAAACTAAAATGAAATTAAAGTTTCAGGGAAGCTGGGGAATTTAGGCATCTATGTCTGTTAGACTCCCTGAAAGGACTGTCAAATCTACTGAATTTTAGTCCCATTTTCTGAAGATTAAAAACAGAAAATAGTAAGAGCTAGAATGACCTTTTCATGTCTTGAATCTTGAATAATTTCTTTTCACTGCTCACTGTGATTTCATAATAAACCAAGCTGAAAGCAACTCTGAATAGTTATATTTGTCAGTCTTTGAAACTATACGGAGCTGAGTGGTGGGAGCAGATGGGCCTGAATAGTGGCTAAGTGTTATTTTTTCCCACCTACAAATTCACAAATCAAAATATTTTCCCCGAGTGTGATGTCATGAAGTTGGAGCCCTCATAAGTAGGATTAGCACCCTTAAAAAGACATTCCATGCTCATGGATAGGAAGAATCAATATCATGAAAAAGGCCATACTGCCCAAGGTAATTTATCGATTTAATGCCATCCCCATCAAGCTACCAATGATTTTCTTCACAGAATTGGAATAAACGACTTTAAAGTTCATATGGAACCAAAAAAGAGCCCACATTGCCAAGACAACCCTAAGCCAAAAGAACAAACCTGGAGGCATCATGCTACCTGACTTGAAACTACACTGCAAGGTTACAGTAACCAAAACAGCATGGTACTGGTACCAAAACAGAGATATAAACCAATGGAACAGAACAGAGCCCTTGGAAATAATACCATACGTCTACAACCATCTGATCTTTGACAAACCTGACAAAAACAAGAAATGGGGAAAGGATTCCCTATTTAATAAATGGTGCTGGGAAAACTGGCTAGCCATATGTAGAAAGCTGAAACTGGATCCCTTCCTTACACCTTATACAAAAATTAATTCAAGATGAATTAAAGACTTAAATGTTAGACATAAAATCATAAAAACCCTAGAAGAAAACCTAGGCAATTTCATTCAGGACATAGGCATTGGCAAGGACTTCATATCTAAAACATCAAAAGCAATGGCAACAAAAGCCAAAATTGACAAATGGGATCTAATTAAACTAAAGAACTTCCGCACAGCAAAAGAAACTACCATCAGAGTGAAAAGGCAACCTACAGAATGGGAGAAAATTTTTGCAATCTACTCATCTGACAAAGGGCTAATATCCAGAATCCACAAAGAACTCAAACAAATTTACAAGAAAAAAACAAACAACCCCATCCACAAGTGGGCGAAGGATATGAACAGACACTTCTTAAAAGAAGATATTTATGCAAGCAACAGACACATGAAAAAATGCTCATCATCACTGGCCATCAGAGAAATGCAAATCAAAACCACAATGAGATACCATCTCACACCAGTTACAATGGCAATCATTAAAAAGTCAGAAAACAACAGGTGCTGGAGAGGATGTGGAGAAATAGAAACACTTTTACACTGTTGGTGGGACTGTAAACTAGTTCAATCATTGTGGAAGACAGTGTGGCGATTCCTCAAGGATCTAGAACTAGAAATACCATTTGACCCAGCCATCCCATTACTGGGTATATACCCAAAGGAATATAAATCATGCTGCTATAAAGACACATGCACATGTATGTTTATTGCAGCACTATTCACAATAGCAAAGACTTGGAACCAACCCAAATGTCCAACAATGATAGACTGGATTAAGCAAATGTGGCACATATACACCATGGAATACTATGCAGCCATAAAAAAGGATGAGTTCATGTCCTTTGTAGGGACATGGATGAAGCTGGAAACCATCATTGTTAGCAAACTGTCTCAGGGAAAAAAAACCAAACACCGCATGTTCTCATTCATAGGTGGGAATTGAACAATGAGAACACTTGAACATAGGAAGAGGAACATCACACACCAGGGCCTGTTGTGGGGTAGGGGGATGGGGGAGGGATAGCATTAGGAGATATATCTAATGCAAATGACGAGTTAATGGGTGCAGCACACCAACATGGCACATGTATACGTATGTAACAAACCTGCACGTTGTGAACATGTACCCTGGAACTTAAAGTGTAATAAAATTATAAAAAAAAAGAGACCACAGGAGTTTTCTCATTATCTTTCTGCCAGGAGAGGATATAGTAGGAAGTCAGGAATCTACAAGCGGGAAGAGGGCACTCAAAAGAACTAACCTGTTTTATCTCTGACTTTCAGCCTCTGAAACTGTGAGAAATACATTTCTGTTTATAAGCCACTTAGTCTTTAATACCTTGTATAGGAGTCCAAAGTAAGACACCAACCTGGTAGAAGTGTGGTTGTTTTTTCTCTGAAATTTACAAACTTATCTCATAAAGATGCTTTATATTTGTAACCAGCAAAAATATATTCTTGGAATAAAATACGTATATCAATTATAATTGGACATTTCATTGTATTATCTCATACAAATGAAATTAAATAAACAGTTTGTGTTAATTTTTGAATTCAGGTTAAATGCCTCAAAGAGGTATTTCTAACAGAATCCAGTAAAGAAAAAACTCTCTTTGTGAGGATCAATTATTTGGGGAGCTATTTTTTCTCTGGAGAACTTACAGAAACCTGTATTAACAGACTGCCAGTTTCCTTTCATAAAATGCTATGCTAAATAATCCAACTTCTTTGAGATGTCATCTTAGTGGCTTTTCATAGTATCTCATTTCACTAGGTAATTGTTCTCTCAAATTGGTGAGCACTCTGTGCCACTAATATAATGGTGACTTGCATTCTTGAATTACAATATATTCAAAAATTCATTATACTTATTCTAATATTTTTGATATTAAATTGGTCTGCTTAAAATAAACCTAATTTTCTATATTTCTTAAGCTGAAATAACAAGTACCCATTCCTTCTTTATGGAAAGTTGCTCCTTCCATTTTATGGAAAATAACTCATTAATAATCACTTGATTTTCTTTAGTTAGCCACAAGTAAGATAAACATGAACACAATCAGAAAATTATACATATAAGATACACCCAGACACACACACACGTATGTATTCATGTGTAGTTAAATACACACCACACACACATATATATAGCATGGAAATAGAATGTAAAGATTATGCCTTTCCATACAGTTTAAATGAAATTTGTGCTTTTGTAAAAATTTTCACTGTTACAGATTTTTCTTCATCTCTTCTTAAATTAAACATGTTACTAACTAAACATATTACAGAGACATAACGAAACCACTGTTTTAAAAACCAAACTTTTTCTAAACCACTTACACCCATTAACTGTTTAAATAAATGACAATTTTGTTAGCCAAAAGAGAAAAAAACCTCCTCTTTGGCACTTCCTTGTTCCTTAACTCATCCCATCTCTTTTCAGACTGCCAATTCTACCTGATTCATATCCAAACGCTTGTAATTTCCTGCCTTCAGTAGCCTGCTAATCTATTTTCCCACGTGTCCCTGTGCTCCTGCCACAATATGTTGCACATTTCATCCAGAGTAATAATTTTAAAATTTAAACTTAACAATGTTATGTTGTACCTCCTTTACCTGAAACTCTTTTGTCTTGTCATGTTGCTTTAAGTTGAAGTCCAAAAAGCAAAAATCAGTCATAACACTCTGAATAATAAAAAGTCTAAGTTGTGATGCTCACTCGTCATAGCTCTGCTACAGTTTCCTGTAATGTACACACATACACACACACAAAGACACACTACAGAGCTAAGGCCTCTTTGACATTTAAACCCCTTCTCAGTAGAGAAGAAATCTCTTCTCAAAGTTAGCAAAGATTTCCTGATTCACACAAACCCTAATATTTCACTCCAAATCTGTCCAGAAACTGCTACTTTTCCCTCTCATGATTACACACAGCTTTTAGCTTTAATCATGTCTAAATATATTTAACGTCATCCCCTCCAGAGAAATATATTTAGCTGAATAAATATTTATGTTTATGTTGTGCGTGTGTGTACAAAGTATTTAAGAAAAGATAAAAATTTATAAATAGAAACAAAAGACCAGTTTACTCTTTATTATAAACATAACACTATATTGAAATGACCTTTGAAAAAATTATGATAGTGAAAAAACTCTGACATAGAAAAATTATGACAGTGAAAGGAATCTGATCTAACTGACTCATCTTGCTTCTAATGAACAAGGTGGCACTGTTCGTTCCTGAGTGTAGGCCAAGCTAACTATTGGAGGAATTTAGTTTACAGTTTAACTTTAAAACAAAGATGATAGCAACCCTTTCTAAAACTAACCCCCTGCGTGCTCAGGAACTGTGTATAAAATGAAAAAATTAGCCACAATTTAGAATTATAGAATTGCAGTTTAGGAGTCACAAGATTTGTAACCTCCCAGTTGCTCCTATAGATAACATAGATAACATCTCTATTATAAAACTAAAGACTGATATTTGAGATATTTTCCAGCCCCTGCATTCTGATGAACCTGGACCGGTAATCCATACCAATACACTGGCTCATCTTGTCTTGTAACCCCCACCCAGGAATGAACTCAGGGCAAGAAGACAGTTTCAATGCACTGAGATTTCATCCTCGACCCAACTAATGAACATTCCACATTTTCTAACCCCTTCCCCGCTAAACTTTCCTTAAAAAGCCCTAGACTCCAAGCTTTCAGGTAGACTGATTTGAATAATAAATTCCCATCTTTTCTCTTGGCTAGCACTGCATTGATCACATTCTTTCTCTACTGCAATATCATGTCTCAGTGAATCAGTTCTATCTGTGCCATGGGCGTGAATAACCCATCAGGCCATGACAATATTTACCGCTAGTAGTAATTATTTTTATAAATTCTATTCTATATATTAAGGGGTACAGCATGATATTTTGAGGTACATATAATTAGTGAAATGATTAATATACTCAAACAAATTAACATATCTATGATCTCACAGTTACCCAGTGTTTGTACATGTGGCAAAACAAATTTAAAATTCACTCTTTTATCAACTTTTAGCAAGTAATTACTAGTAATTTTAAACTATTTATAATAATACCTCACAACATATATAAAAAGTAACTAAAATGAATTATAGACCTAATTGTAAAGTCTAGCACTCTAAAACTTCTAGAAAAAAATGTAAGAGAAGATTTTTATCATATTAGGCTAAACAAAGATTTCTTAAATAAAAGAATAAAATCAACACATCTTTTTAAAGTAATAAATTTGACTTAAACTTGTAAAACATCTATCCTTCAAAAGAAGCTGTTAAAGGAGTGAAAAGGAAAGCCACAATCTAGGAGAAGATATTTGCAAATCTCATCCTTTAGAATGACTACAATTAAAATTTCCAACCACAACAAGTGTTTGTGAGAATTTGGAGGAACTGGAACTCTCATAAGCTGCAGGTGGAAATGTGAAATAATACAATCACTGTGGAAGGCATTTTATCAGCTTCTTTAAAGGCAAGATGTATACATGTAGTCCAGTCAGCCCACTCCCAGGTATTTAGTCAAGTGAAATGCTGTCTTGTGTTCACATAAAACCTGTACTCAAATGTTTATAAAGACTTTATTTATAGTCAGCCAAACTGGAAATTGGAAAGAATGCAAATGGTTTTAATGAGGAAATAGATAAACTGTAGTAGATTCAAACAATGGAACACTATTAGGCAATATAGAGGACCAAATTAGTAATACAAATAACAACATGGATAACCTTGAATGCACTATGCTAAGAGAAGAAACCAAGCACAAAAGGCGACATACTCTATGATCTCACTGACATTGCATTTGGGAATAGAAAAAATCATAGGGACAGAAAACAGATCTATTGCTTTCAGGTGCTGAGGTAGGGAAACTGTTTGATTAAAAAGTACAGGGGAAGTTTTGGGGACTCTTCTATGTATTGATTGTACGGGCCACTGCTCTCTTGTTTTGCAGAATGCTCAGAATTATACAACAAAAATGGTAAAGTGTTCCATGTTTAAATTATACCTAATAAAATTGGAAAATTATTAAAAGGCAGAGAAAAAAAGGAATAATATTTGGTACTTGGAAATATTAAATCACACAGAAAATATAATATTTCTGTTATTTAAGTTATATTTGAGTGATTTTTAAAAAGAAATAAAAAAGCAATAGGAAGTGTGATATTGTGATTTATTTGGTCTTTGTCCTAGTTTCCTAGCACACAGCTCCTAAAAAGATCTCCCAAATGATGAGTTCCTTCGTATGCTAATGAAACAATTGTTAGCAGGGTGAGGGGTGTGGGGGGCGGGGGTAGTGGGGGCGGTCCCTGGATAGCCTGGCAGGGTGGATTTTTGCCAGGGGAAGCAAACAGGAGATTTGAGGGTTGAAATTTTCATTCTTACCCACTGATCACATGGGAGAGGTGAGGGTTTGAAGATGAGCCAATCAATCACGCCTATGTAATGAAGCCTCTATATATACCTAAAAAGACAGAGTTCAGAGAGCTTCTAGATTATTGGCATTGCCTGTAGGATAATGCACTAGGAGAGGGCAAGACAATTCTTTCCTCTTCACACACACCTTGCTCTATGAATCTCTTCCATCTGGCTGTTTATCTGTATCTTTGGAATAAATGGGTAAGCTTAAGTAAAGTGTTTCCATGAGTTCTGTGAGCTGCTCTAGCAAATTAATCAATTCTGCAGAGGGAGAGTCCTTCAAATTCCCAATATGTAGCCAGTGAATCAGAAGTGTATGTGACAATCTACTGCTTACAATCGGTGTCTGGAATTGGTGGGCATGCTCATGTGACTGAGCCCTCAACTCCTGGGATCTGATCCTATCTTCAGATAGGTAGTGTCAGGATTAAGTTGAATTATAGAACAGTCAGGTGATATGTGCTAGAGGATTGGTTTCTTGGTGTGTAGAGAAACACCCCCATACATCTGATCAGAAGTGCTCTGTATTTTATTGAGTGTGGAAGTAGAAAAAACAGCTTATTTTTTCTCTCTTTCAAGGGAAGAAATTAAATATTTGGAAATCTGGCCAAAATTGCTAAATTTTTACCAAAGTCGATTTCTCTTCTCACTGGCAACTTGGCTAAATTATTTTTGTTATATGCATGGGCCAAAATTTGTCCTTGTGTATTGGCGTAAAATGGCCTCTGTGCTGTTTACTTCTTTGCAGCAGGCTAGGACTATTAGTCTGAAGACTACTGCAGCAAATTCAAACTCTTGTACAATTAATTGATTTAAATGTGGTCCAAATGGACATTTTAAGCCATGTGGATGCTAACTACTTTTCATATGCTTCAAAACTGCACCCAAAATTTGCTAACTGTAGATAACACAAACTCTGTTAAACTCTTTCAGAGCTCTCTGACCCACACACTTCCGACCCTGTGGCTGAGCAACATCATTAGGCACGTAATCTTCCTCCCTGATTTCCACCTCTCCCCAGTGAGCATACTTGCTCTATTCCCTTTGGATCTGCTATTATTGAAAGGTCTCTTGCTGAAAGGGACTTCCTCTCTCATGCAAACCTGTCCCAGTGCTGCCCAAGAAAGCTTATTTTATGTTCCTGCTTGTCATGGTCCTATCTCTTCTTTGATCAACCTCCAAATCCTCAGTCTTACCACAACTCTTAAGCATCACATGGGTTAGGAGTGGTTGTGGAACGAATTTCGAGCTAAGGGAAAGTGAAGGAAAGCAATAAGTAGTATTTCTAGGCCTTTCAAAATCACATAAATAGGAAAAGAAGGGCTATTAAACCACTTATATTTGAAAGTTTTTTTTTCACTACAGCAGCTAAGTTTACTTTTTCTAAATCAACATAGGAGAAGAAAAATAAAATAAAATAAAATCATAATACTAGGCTAATTTTTATACAACTTTGATGTTTCTCATTTTAAATAGCATAATAATAATTCCTTGAGTATATATTCATTAACACTCTCTCATGTGCAATGCATTGGGTAATAAAGTAATAAATATGACAGCTTTGATTCCCAATAAAATTTGGCATGCTCAGCTTGATTCATTATAAAATATAAGAAATTTATACAGACTAGTACTGAGCATGAATAGAAGGGAGAAGTTAATTACTCAAGCACGTAACTCAGAATCCCATGGCACCTGCTCATTTCACACCTCTTCATAAGCCCAAAACTTATGGTAAGTGTCCACCCACCAATTCCTTGAAGAGTAGCAACTGCTGTCCTATTTATGGGTGAATCTGTATATTATTCTGGTAGCAGCCATAAGTAGACATCTGCTGCCCTATAAAGTTCACTTTCTAATTATTACAGTTTCGGTAATAAGCTTGGTTGTTCATTTCTCATGGAAGGAAAGATGGTTAAGTTTTGGATCTACATGGACTCATGGGAAGTGGTTAATAGGTGAGCAAAATTTGGAAAAGTTCACAGTGAATATTTAAAAATTGGTGGAAGGAGATCTAGAAAACAAGTATATAAATGGTCTCCTTAGAATAATGTGAATATATTTGTATACCAAATATATGCTAACCAAAAATTTATCTACACAGAAGGAAGCTTTCAATAATTAGTTGTATAAAAACGCTCCATGGCAGACAAAACAACATGGTGTTTTCCTTAACAGGATCTGGCTACAACAGTTGCTGTGAAAATTAGAGCTCAATACTGAACTCCTAAGATAGTAACAATTCCCAGCTAGTAACAATGTACTAACTCGGTAATTGTATTGAACCCCTTTAATCATAGAGGATCAGAACTGTCCTCACAGGGGAAAACATATTTCAGGTATAGATTTGCTTTTGATGCCCACTGGTGTTGACATAATTGGACTTCTGTATTCTTTATCCAGCTCCATGGCATCTCAGACAACATCAATTCTGCAGTGGACACTGCTGGTTCCATCCTCAACACTCTTCACTAGGACAGGGTATACATCCCTTGGCATTACCAGGATTGGCTGCTAATAGTTAATAACTTTCTCACTATCTGGAGAATTGATACCACCCAGTGATAGACTTGTATGAGCTAAAATGGACCACTCTTTCCTTGAGAAGGAAAAATCTCTGTAGTTCCTTTTTTGCTGCATACCCTCCCCATGTGATGAAACTGAAGCTAGATTTCAGCAGTCCTGTGCTTAGCTTGTTTTCCCCCTATTCTAACTGCCCTTCTTGAGTAATTTATTATATAAAATAATTTTACAATAATCTTCATCTAAGATTTGGCTTCTAGGCATTTCACTAGGGTCTTTGCTATAAAGCAAAGGAATTTGTTACAAAAATAATTTATTGTAACAAGTCATTTGGTTCATACACAAATAATTTACCATTTTTCGTCATGAGTCCCATCATCCAGAAGTATCTGGCTTGATGAAATGACAGAACAGCCAGCTAAAAGATAAATCGTGGCACCTGCTTGATGACACACCTGCAAACTTAGGATAGTTTTCTACAAGATTTGTTATATGCCTTAAACCATAGCCAATATATAATATCACCCTCCCTGTAGCCTTGCTTCACATACATGGGAATAAAAGGTAAGAAGTGGGGATCATCCCTTACACTATTACAGCTAATAAACGATTTGAAGAATTTTGCTTCTTATCTCTGATCTCTTATAATGAGTGGGTTTGCTTCTTACCTCTGACCTCTTATAATGGGTGGGTCTCTTATAATGGGAAACCTGAGAAAGGAGACCTTCAAAAAGAAAAAGGTTTTGAATTTGTTTAACTAAAAGCAGAAACTTTCCACTTGCCATTTTTACTTTATTGTAAAGCTAAACCAGTAGAAAGCAAAAGGAGTTCATTCTTCTAGTTGGTATAATTTATCTTTACAAATCCAAATGGATTCACCAGTTGTTAAGATTTGAGAAGGAGCAAAATCAGAAACTATCTGATCTGAGTATATACCTCTGCTAGTATTTTGTCAGCAAAGGACTCTACAAGTCTTCATGCAAAGAAAGCTACTTTATGTGTAAATCATATATGACTTTCCTTTCTGCTCATTAGCAATACATTGTCACAAATGCATCTGAGAGAGTTTTAAAAAACTGATGTCATGTGTCTTCCTACATATGTAGAGCCTTTAACACTGCATGCAATTTTTGCCTATACATACATACACATACAGTATGTTCATATAATTTATGTCTGCATATTTTCATAACTGTAGTTCATTTATTATAATGAAATTTTTGTGATTTTGTTGTTTACATGAAATTAGCTATTTTCAAAGGAAAGAATTTTTTTCAGTAAGTTAAATACCAGACATCACAATCGTGAATGGCAATTTACACATGCAGCTACTGTTAATTGGTTTTCTAATTTCTTTATTGAGTTTTCCACTGGTTTGGTGAAATAATGTACTACCAGTATGAAGGGAAATGTGTTAATTTTGTAGGAACTGTATCTATGGCATGGAGGAAGTGTAAGTATGGCTATCAGTCATATATGGTGCAAAGAGCATTAGGCTGAGGTTCATAACAGGTGGGTTAGCTTCAGTTCACAGCTATGACAAATAACCAATCACACCCTGAGCAAGTCATTTGATGTATCTAGGGTAACACATTTAGGAATGATAAACCTTGTTAGTGGGACAGAAAGTAACATATTCTCGGGTAGTGAAATATAAGAACAATAGTCTTACTCCTTTATCTGCTAACTAGCAATATGTCATTCTGTTTCCTTAAATGAGTTAACAAAGTAGGAAATATATTTATTAAAATGTTTTTTAACTCTTAATTATTTGACCTTGTAAACTTTTAATAATTTTTATTAGTCAGAAAACATATTGATGTATTCTAATTAAATATACTGTTTCTTGTTATTATTTTGGTGATACTGAAACTTCTTTAGCTTTTTTTGGAATATCTATTTTATATATATATATATATATATATATATATATATATATATATATATATGTAAAACATTGAGTCAATATATGTATATTTTTCACATGTAAATTTCCACAGAGCTTATTTAACAGTGATTAGAGTTGTTAGACGTTCTTTTTGTTGATAAAATCACATACACGCAGATCTTGCACAGGGAACTAGTATCAACTCTCCATAATGAAATAACATATAAAATATAATAATGTGTTTTTGCTTCATTTTATATGAAATAACTTCTTTAGTTTTCTAATGTAACTGTCAATTGCCATTTCCTTATCATTGGTTACATTTAAATGGTGACACATTAAATTATTTTCAACATTTTTACAAGTAAGCACATACATAAAGGGAAAAATACATGATGACTTTTTTCTTCATACTCTTCTCATGTTACTGTCCTCCTATTTTGACAGAAATTAAAAGTAACTGAAATTCTTCTGATCACTTTTCAAAGACTCAGTGTGTCCATAACTAAGGAAAGATCCCAGCAGTTGTTTGAAAAGAGGACTTGTTGACATTAAATGAATTTCAGAGAGGTGTAAATTAGCTTTGCTTTTCATTTAGCAATTGACAGATGGTAATATTTTGAGAAGATAAAATAACAAAGTGATTAGCTGTTTGACTATTCCTCAAACTTTTCTTCATGCTATATTTCCAGAAGCCAATGTTGATGCCCTGAAATCCTCAGAGTGTTCTGAAAGAAAAGACTCAAACAATGAACATTTTTATCTCTATGAATTGAGATTTCCTCTGAATCTCTAGGAAACTCAGGTCACTGTGGGCAATGAAAATTCAGCTCAGGTATGTATTCAGGTAGGAGTCAGGTTAAGTCAACAGGGAAAGTTACAAGAGTTGTCCTGTTTGACTCTTGATTAAAATAAGTAAATAAGCTGAGAGCATTTAAGCAAAGCAGGAAATCTCTAGTTTGCCATAGTCTTTTAGACTCCTTACTGATTTATACCTGGCACTCCTGAGAACAGTGCCCACCACAAGAAGGTTGCTCAACAAATATTTGTTGAAAAAACGATTGTTACTTCTTTCCCTTGAGACAACTTGTGTTTCTGCCTCATGAATTTTATTTTTCCAAAATTGCCCAATGTTTTAACGATGTCCAACATTAAATGAAGAATTTCAGAAGTTCAAGAAATTATTTTGAATAAATGATGAATGAGCAAAGTTATACATTGTGCAATTAGACTTGGAGAAAGAACCACAGATGATTTCTTTTCATAGTCCTACTTCTATAACCAATCAAAGCTCATGTAATTTAATTTTGTAGTCTTCTACAATCTGGTCTCCCACTACCTTTTAAACTCTAATTCCACTTACATTCATATATCAATGCAACCTTATATTCAGACTGATCTTAATATTATTCAAGGTCCAGATCATAATTGCCCCTTCTTTAATCTTTTCTCACAGAAATGGTGATCCCTCTTCCATAAGCTAATTTGTATCCTGCTCTCCTTTCAAGGTATTATTTATTTGTCTTCCAAAAACCTTTTGATTATTCTAGCCTATTAATCTATTGGTGGTCAGAGCTTGTATTTCCAAAGGTATTCAGTAAATATGGTTTGTACTTTCATGCATTTTTACCAATTGTTTCATGTGTTTCTGTCTTGTTTCCTTGTCAATAGCTCATTAAATGAAGACTAGATTGGAAGATTCAGCTGGAAAAGTTAGTTAAGTCCATGCATAAAGTGTCTTTATAAGGAGATTTAATTTTATTACGTGAGACAGGCTAATTTTTGTATTTTTAGAGGAGGCAGGGTTTCACCACATTGTCCAAGCTGGTCTCGAACTCCTGTCCTCAAGTGATCTGCCAGCTTCGGCCTCCCAAAGTGCTGGGACTACAGGATGATCCACCTGGCCCAGCCAAAATGTAAGCTTTTTGTCAGGAATTCTCTAAGAATATTTAAATTCTTCAGCTTTCATTTCCTTTCATAAGACTCAAAAGATAATATACACAATTGTAGTGACCAATAGATGTTTGAAGTTATCACTATAATGAAATAATTATAAAGCCAATTTAGTTCATATAATGTAGTGTATATTTTTACAAAGAATTGACTTGAACGGGTAAAAGTATAAATGATGAGAACGACAATATGAAGCAAGCAAAATTTTATTTTTAAGAAAAAATGTCATATCTCCATTTAATTAAACATATTTTGAAACAATTATACATTTAGGATCTTACATGACATTTTGAACTATAACATTTTTTGTCTTATTAATTTTTATCCAGGTCATGTTTTACTCCTCACATTTTTAGTTTAATTTGAAACTTTTAAAATAATCTTTTAGCATAATCTCTGTGATAAAAAAATTTAAACCTTGAGACAACTGAGAAACATTATGAATAAAAAAACGTTCAATTATATTTATCTTTTATGTAATATTACATTACAGCTTATTATTACATTAATATTTTATCTATACTCAAAATTAACTGTAAGGAAAATTAGCTTACTATTTATTATTTCCTGAAAGTAAAGGGATGCATCAGAACATTTACTTAACTTTGCTGCTCATTAGATTATTGTTTCATTATATTCTAAATTATCCAAATAGTCCATGCTTTGTTTCAATTACTGGAAGAAAATGACAACAAAACTGAAAATATATTTTTAGAAATGTGATTCATGTTTAGTACTCCTGCAGGAATGCTTAGAACTTAACAGTACAAAAGTTGAAATTAGTTGATATGACTAAGATCTTTACTATGGCTAGAGTCTGATGCCAAGATATTTATATTAGGTTGGCGAAAAGTAATTGCAGTTTTGCCATTGAAAGTAATGGTAAAAACTGCAATTATTTACCATTAACCGAATACATTCTAAAGCCATTTTTGTATATTCATAATTCAGTTTCAGAAAATGTATCCATATAGTGAGTGATTTTGGATATACATTTTTTTCTAAAGGGAGTTTTTACTTGTTCAAGAACTGAACCGAACTTTCAGTTAGGTTTTATAGGGATATTTCTGATCTCTTCAAAATAGTATAAAACGGTAATTTTGAGTACTTATAATCATCATTTTAAATATGTCTCAAGATAGACCATTTCACTTCCAGTGTGCCTTGTCACAAAATTTACCTTATAATTCATGTAAATTAATTGATAATCTATTTTCTTATTCAATATAAATTGGCCTCATGGGGCAGGGAAAGAGTGGAAATTGTAAGTTTATTTGAACTATGTATGTATGTTTTTACACATATATATGTGGAGTGAATATAATGAATGGTTAGAAGAATCTATGTTCTTGCTTTGGTGCAGTGTTTGTACCTCAACGAGTATCAAAATGAGGACTTGAAATGGAGATAAAAGAATGGGGATTAAGATGAGCTCCCAAACTAATAGTTTTTGTTTTCTTCCTTCTTTGTATTCAACCTGACTTTTTTTTATTATTATTATACTTTAAGTTTTAGGGTACATGTGAACAACGTGCAGGTTAGTTACATATGTATACATGTGCCATGCTGGCGTGCTGCACCCATTAACTCGTCATTTAGCATTAAGTATATCTCCTAATGCTATCCCTCCCCCCTCCCCCCACCCCACTACAGTCCCCAGAGTGTGATGTTCCCATTCCTGTGTCCATGTGTTCTCATTGTTCAATTCCCACCTATGAGTGAGAACATGCAGTGTTTGGTTTTTTGTCCTTGTGATAGTTTACTGAGAATGATGATTTCCAGTTTCATCCATGTCCCTACAAAGGACATGAACTCATCATTTTTTATGGCTGCATAGTATTCCATGGTGTATATGTGCCACATTTTCTTAATCCAGTCTATCATTGTTGGACATTTGGATTGGTTCCAAGTCTTTGCTATTGTGAATAGTGCCGCAATAAACATACATGTGCATGTGTCTTTATAGCAGCATGATTTATAGTCCTTTAGGTATATACCCAGTAATGGGATGGCTGGGTCAAATGGCATTTCTAGTTCTAGATCCCTGAGGAATTGCCACACTGACTTCCACAATGGTTGAACTAGTTTACAGTCCCACCAACAGTGTAAAAGTGTTCCTATTTCTCCACATCCTCTCCAGCACCTGTTGTTTCCTGACTTTTTAATGATTGCCATTCTAACTGGTGTGAGATGGTATCTCACTGTGGTTTTGATTTGCATTTCTCTGATGGCCAGTGATGGTGAGCATTTTTTCATGTGTTTTTTGGCTGCATAAATGTCTTCTTTTGAGAAGTGTCTGTTCATGTCCTTCGCCCACTTGTTGATGGGGTTGTTTGTTTTTTTCTTGTAAATTTGTTTGAGTTCTTTGTAGATTCTGGATATTAGCCCTTTGTCAGATGAGTAGGTTGCAAAAATTTTCTCCAATTTTGTAGGTTGCCTGTTCACTCTGATGGTAGTTTCTTTCGCCGTGCAGAAGCTCTTTAGTTTAATTAGATCCCATTTGTCAATTTTGGCTTTTGTTGCCATTGCTTTTGGTGTTTTAGACATGAAGTCCTTGCCCATGCCTATGTCCTGAATGGTAATGCCCAGTCAACCTGACATTTTGAAGAAGCCAACAAAAATACTCAAATATTACTACCCTAGTAAGGCATGAAAAATAGTGACAAGATAATTATTATAAAGTGATTTTTGATACATTTTACATGTGCAATATGGAATTATCAAAATTTTTTAGCAGGGAAGTTACAGATCAGTACAGTGCTGTAGAAAGTATAATCAAAATAAGACACTTGGGAGATGTATAAGTTTGGAAATAGGAAGATTATTTAGAATATAACTGCTATCAATTAGGCATGCAATAAGAAGGGCCTGAACTATAATGATGAAAATAAATATGAAGTATTATATATAACTTAATATATGTAGTTGAATAAATAATTTGAGGGAGTGTGGATATGTAGAATAACATCATCACAGGTGAGCTAAAATAATTTATAGATGATGTCAATGTTTCAAAACCGAGAGAATAAGAAATTAGATATATTCCTAAAATTGCAAGAAAGTTATGAAAAGAGCATGATACTACTCAGGTTATAATTTACTCAAAAATTTAATGAATGTCTGAAAATACCTATTTATTACACACACAAACCATTGGAGCCAATCGAAGGAGTGAACCCTTCATGGGGAGGATTTTTATGGAGAATAAAAAGAAAATAATGGACTGGATGGAAGAGAATGAGCATTGGCCCTGGGATTATCAAAGACTCATTAATCACTTCAAGACTTACAAATCTCTTCATTGTTAGGTTTACTAGTACTACTCTTTCCTCTCCATTATACTTGAGATACTTTTTTTTTTTTGAGGCAATAACTTAACATTGTTACTAAACTTGCTGTCTTCACCTCTGCTCCAAGAACATTTTTGTAAGTCAAATCACCATGTTCTAATGTGGGTCTAGGACCAGGAGACTTGCTTTCACCTCTAGTACTTGCCGACCCTGGACACACACAAACAGTACACGTCATCTGATGCTTTTTAATTAATATTCTAAACTACAAAATTAGATAAGGTGATTAGAAATCTCAGATTCCTTTGCATTTTAGCCATCTGACATCTCATAAGCTGAATTTGGATTAAATAACTGACTCTACATTATTTTTGAATTGAGTATTTGTGAGTCAGCTATCAGAGTTAGAGCACTGATAGTTAGCTTCTACAACAGAATAAACTATACTAACAACTGCCATACAAATAGAAAAATATTAGATCAGATCCCAAATCATTACTTCTTTTCCTCTCTGCCTATATTGCCATGATTTTGCAATTGCATATTTCTCTGGTAATTGAACATACAACATGTGAATTTGAATTTGAACTTGAATTTGCAGAATATCAATTTCGTCTCCTAAACTCACAGATGACAATTCCTACTTTACAGAATAACATTAAGTATTAACAAGATGTAATGTATGTAAATACAATTTACAAAGTGTGAATCACTACTAAAATGTGAGAATAAATTTTACAAGCAATAATACCAATCTCTCACAATTTGTACTTAACTAACAGTTGTCAAAATGAAAAGTATGCATAAAATGAACATATAATGTGTCTTTATGGTCTGACCACAAAGACTACAGTCAATCAGTTTATATATACAAAGCATTTTTTTTTCATGGGGCAGCCAATTCTATACTTTGTTACACAATAGAACGTTATTTTCTTTTTATTCTCCATAAAAATCTTCCCCCCAAAGGGTTCACTCCTTCTACTGCCTCCAGTGGTTTGTGTGTGTAATAAAGCTCTAACAATTGCTCACTATAATGCTGCTTTTTCCTGAAGGAATTATTGTTTTATAATTATTATTGCAAATCTAATGAGAACTAAGACATAGAATGTGTCATTGGATTTATATGTCACTTTGGGAGATATAAAAACAAATAGTCATTTATGCTACACATCAAATTGATTTAAATGTTTAATAATGATAAACACTAAGAGTGATGAATGCAAAGAGGAATTGTTGAGTTCCAAGAAGGAAAATAGACCACTTCATCTGGAGGAAATGAAAACTGAGTTTTGAAGGATAAGTAGAACTACAATTGCAAAGGAAGTAGACGGGGTGAAAGGCTATTTAACATGTAGGGTTCAGCATTCACTTTTTCAACAAGTGCATATTGATTGTCCACCTCTAACAGGTACTCAGTTATGATCTGGAGATAAAAACATAAATAATAAATTATCCTTACCCTATAGGCACAAGAGAAAGAGGAGAGCAATACAGTTCAGTGAACTAAGTGCTCTGATGGGAGTTTGCTACTGGAGCATAGGAAAAAATATATCTCCACTAAAACAGGAAGTTCATGGTGATCAAACAAGAATTGACCTGCATTTTTGAATTATAAGTGAGTTTACAGGTAGTTCAAAAATGACAGACAAGGTAACAACATGTACAAAAGTGTGTTGTTGTAAAATAGATTGACGGGTTAAGTGTTGATGATTTTCTATCTCTGAAGCAATAGGGTATATTAAAGGGTGGTAAAGGATAAATTTGGAATGGTAAGCTTGTATTTGTTAGGCCACAGTGTTGAAAGAATCGCTGTAAATCTGTGAGAAACAATAGCAGAATTTTAGGTTTCAAAGTTTTAAATTTGCATTGTATTCTTTTATTCAGCCAATATTTATGAAATACTACATTTTAAACACTATTTTAACACTGTGGTATACAAAAGAGGTAAGGTTCTTGCTGTCAGGGACCTTATGTTCTTGAGTACTGACAGTGAGAGCTAATGAAGTATACAATGAAGGAGAGAGCAAGTAAAAAAGTAGTCAGTTAGATAGTCACTGCCTTAATATATTATAAATGTATGGGTTTTCACTGAGACCATTGCAGAGATAGTGAGAAAGAGGAGAAGAATTTGAGGTTCATATGAGAAGTTTTAATTACATCTCTTAGTGAATTATTTGGTGTGCCAAGGGGTAGGTGAGTACAGGAAAGGTCTCTAGTAAATATCTCAGGTCTCTGGGATTGCAAATGATGAAAGCTATCAATTATAATGGGACAAATGGAGTATCAAGTATCTCCTGATGTGATGCACATTGAAGGCTGCAAAACATGTACTGTAGTATCCCTGCCAAATTCTATAGCCTGTGTTCAATCATGAGGAAAACCAGACAAACTCAAATTGAGGAACATTCTACAATTAAACAGCCATGGGCATTTAAAAAATATCAGGGTCATGAAAGAAAAAGAAAGTTTGAGGAACTGAACACATGATCTTGAGTTGGCTATTATTCTTGCACATTTTCTGTAACTGATATTATATCAAACTGAAAAAAAAAATGAAACAAACAAAAAGAATTGGGCAGGGGAGGAAAAACACAGAAAGAAATAAAGGGAAAGAAAACTTCTGAGAAAGAATATATGGCTGTTTGGTAGGAAAATGGAGGGTGAAGAGAAATCTGCTCAACTCTCCTTTCAGAAGTATGCTAGAATTAAGAATTCGAACCCTCAACTTTTTTTTTTCTTAAAACAGTTAATGATCATCTAAACATAAAATTTATGAAAAATAAAAAATACCACAAGAGCAATGACATATGTATTCTGTGTGCTGGAAAGCTGATCTTGGGAACCTAGCCAGTATCTCCAAAGGTAAATTGAACTTTTTTTTTCATGTCTGGAATGTGGTTGAAAAGATTGCAATCAGATATAGACAGTGTGTTAGTAAGTTGGTACTAGTTTACACTTCAACTCTGGTGACAGTTGCTTTAATCAGAAAAAGATACTCTGCAGTGTTGGTTAGTTCCTATTATATCTCAAAGACCATAATTCAAAGGGAATACTAAATTTTTCCTATTTTCCATAATTAAATCAATAGTTGAGGATTTGCTAATTCAAATATTTAAAGTAAAATTGTTTTTATTAATACAAGTATTGACTTGTTAACTAGTGTAATAAATATTAGAAGTAGTTATCAATTTTAAATTATAGGTATTAACCTATAATATATAGGTGAATAGCTAAAATATTTTTGGGTACTCACTATTTCCTCAAGAGCCTAGGCAAGCCAAAAGCTTGATCCCTAAGAAGACTTCTATCCAGAAATTGGTTTTGAAGAATTTCTGTTTCTATGATAACAATCTTATGGGTAACAGAATCCTGCCTCTAGATTATCCTCTGCTTTTTATTGACTTTTTACATTAAGTTGTGATCATAGAACCTTAAAAAATCCCAGAGAACTAGGATTTTATCAAACTTCTAAGATAAATGTTATGAGAAATTGTTTACTTACTAATAAATGTTTGTTTGCTGTCTATGTCAGGGGCAATGTTTGTTCTGAGATTGTTTTTTAGTAGTAGTGAGTTTGTAGGAGAGTAGTTAACTCTTATTCATATCAAATTTGGAAACTACTAAAAGTTAATTAAGAGGTGAGCACTACTAAATGGGCTTTACTCAATTAGCAACATACATCTTGATGGGGAAAACCGAAGTATTTGCTGATCCAGAGGCATAAAAGAGCTTAGAGGTCATCCCAGAATAGTGTTTGAATTCATGGAAAGGTTGAGGAATAGAAAACAGGAGATATATTAGAAAATGAATTTTAATCTAGAGTTATCAACTAGCTAATGACAATCCCTGCAGTCTATTTGTAAATTCCAACTGACATAAACAATTAGTTTCAGGCAATTTAAAAGGCAATGTAAGATGGGAGAGGAAGCTAACACAAAATGTATAGATTTGCCTCTATTTAAGAAATAGTTGAGTATTCAATAGGGTTAAGTTAGAGGAGAAAATTTCACAGAAATTACTACTGAGGAGAGTCTTGGCCAGATGGGCAGGAATAAATGTTATAAGAAATCACTGCAGGGGACAGGTACATATACAGTTAGCAATCCCTCTACTTTTTTTCCTACTATGCCAGGGCAGAGGACTATCCTCAGGGAGAATATTCACAGGAAGCAGTTTAGAAATAATGGGCCGAAGTCCACGTGGTCTACTGACCCAAATCTTTAATCTAGCTCCTTATTCAAACTCTCCTTCAATAGTAACTCTGCATTTCAGAAGTGAAAGAAAAAAAAAAAAAACGCCATTCTTATGTAACCAAACAAAAATAAAAACTCTGCATATAAAGGCTTGGGTGAGCTTCTCTGGTTGACAATACTTCATTAGTGTTGTCACTTGTCATTGCTGGCAGAAATAAGCACTGTGTGCACAATTACTGGGAAAGGACACCTGGAATCTATCGCCCCAAGCCTCCCGGACTCTGCTCTATGCACCTCTTTCCTTTGCTATTTTGTTCTATATCCTGTCACTGTAACAAACCACAATCATGATAATATGGCTTTTCTGAGTTCTGTGAGTTTTTCTAGCAAATCACTGAAACTGAGTGTGATATTAGGAATCCCAGCTCACACTCATATAGACAAAGAAAATGGATAAACAATCTAAAACACTACTTCTTTCTATTTAACCTAACTCCTCATTTAATAATGTGAAAAAATGGCTAAAATTTTATCTTTTGCTCAATTTTAAAATTACTAGAAACCTAAATAAATGTAGGATCTTTTAAAAAAGAAATCTTTATAAGGAATTATTTATAACATGGATATTTGCAGGAAAATATGTATAAAAAGGGGAGTAAATCTTGCAATAGGAACTAATAATGAAAAATAATTTAGAGTTTACTTACAAAGAAATCAATTTTTGTTATAAATATTTTCATATGCTATGACCTGCTTTTGTTGAACTGTTTGTTATATTTCCAGTTTCCGGTGTCTCATCAATACACATTCTTGGGTAAGAATACTTGCTGAATCAAATTACTAAAGCCATTTATTTAAAAAAGTTATTGATATTTTATGCAATTTTATTAGTTTCTTTTAATTTATTTTAACTGAGGGTCTTGTCCCCATGACATAGAAATTACTTGAAAGGTTATTTCTTTAAAAGCCTGAATCACAGCTCCCTTATGACATTTAGGCCCCATGACTGAGCCAGACACTCATTCAACATGTCTTCCTCAACATTGTTGAATGTTTTCTCTCTGTGATCATGCAAGGTGACTTCTCTTTGTCTTATTCTTTACCACAAGTTTATTCAGTATAATTCTGCACAGCTGACACCTAACTGGGAGCAATGTTTTAGTTTTTGTTGATTGCATAATTAGTGTCACACAAATTACTTGAGGCATGGTGCTTCTGTGGCCGGGGGTGGTGGCACATGCCTGTAATGCCAGCACTCTGGGAAGTTGAGGCTGGAGGATTGGATGAATCTGGGAGGTTGAGACCCACCTGGGCAACATGGTGAAACCCCATCTATACAAAAACTACAAAAATTAGCCAGGCATGGTGGCAGGTTCCTGTGGTCCTAGCTACTCGGGAGGCTAAGGTGGAAGAATTACTTGAGCCTGGGAGGTTGAGGCTGCAGTGAGCCCAGATCCCAACACTGCACTCCAGCCTGGGCAAGGGAGTGATACCCTGTAACAACAACATCAACAACAACAGAAAGTTAACAGGTTTTCATTTTATACTAGTTTGTTATATATTCACGTCCTCCGATCTTTTCCTGTTTCTTGTGCTGCTTTCTGCCTGAAATAGCTCCCACTCACCTTTTTCTTGTTTACTTCATCCCAGCCCTTCAAGACCCAGCTCGGAAGTGTCTCACTCCCATGTAATGAGGCTTTTCTTCCTATAGCTCCTCCCCCATGCAAGAATATATCTAGCTTATTTTTATATATCCCTTAGAAATCTGTAGCATAGAGTTTTGCGTATTACAAATGTTCCATAAATATTTTTTGACTTGAAGTAAATTTATTTAAATTAATATGAATTTTTCTAAAGTTGCATTTCCAATTGGAAATAAATAATTTAGCATTCATAATACAATATACTCTTCAAAGATCAATAAAAGGAATCACTTCTCCATGAGAAAAATATTTGTATTTTTTTTTCTAACAGCTTTGAATGAATGACTAGTCTTCAAGTAAAAGGCTGCTGGGATTTAATCATTATATAGCCAAAGATTTCCAAAGTTATCTAACAAGTATTCTTCAACTGTCATTTACTGCCAACTCAAGGGAGCTTTATCCGAAGAATAGTAAAAACTTAAATCTGTTGTTTTCCCATGATGGTTCAATAACTTCACGACTTGTTTTCTTTCCCCTAATTATAATTTCTTACTGTTCAAAATATTTTAAAAATTAACCTTGGTTATAACCCTATCATTTGAGGCCTCTAGCGATTTGTTATTTATATTGTTAGAGTTTGGGTGCTACTTTAATGGAAAGATTTATTTTTCTCACTTAATGAAGTCTGTTTTATTTTAAATCATTTCTCAAGGACATAATTTGAACTCATGGGATTGCTAGGCAATTCACTGTATTATGAGTAATTTCTAAATTGCTTTTTAAAATTTATTATATGCAGGAAAAAAAGTGGCTTGAAAACTTTCTGATAAATTTAATACATGCTAAAAGTATACTCTTGTGAAAGCAGATATATCTGTTTTGCAGCTATAGTGGCAGTTCACCGTGAATCTTCATAAATTCACAGGCATATTATTAGCTAACCTTATAATTGAAAAACATAAGTATAAAAAACTACTAATACTAATATATTAAACAGGAAGACAAAATGTCAAAAAGTACACTCATATGAACAAGCAAAAGTAGAATATTTTGTTGTATTATTGTTGTTATTGTTATTCATGGCCAGTTTAAGAACACTGGTATTGTTATGTTCCTGCTAATCTAGTTAACAGATTTGATAATTATAGTAGATTTACTATGACCTATGTTTTTTCCTATACTTATGCAGAAAATTGATAACTCTATAATACGGGCAAGCATAGTATTTTTTATCATGCCAGATGTATAGTAGATACACAATCTGTACCAGTTGTCAAAATGTGGTGAGTTGATATTTATGGAGGTGGCTATACTCTGGCTTCCTCTGTCCATTCTGAAGAGGACAAGGAGACAACAGATCCTGTGAACAAGATAGGTGGAGATTTGGAGATGCCAGCGTTTCATCTATAAACTCCAACTTTGTCTTGATTTGGTAAACATATGACGTTCATTCATACTGAATGCCCCTATCAAACAAGCATTACCCATCTATCTGATTGTTACTTAGAGTGGAAGTAAACTATTTCAGCTCACAACAAAGCATTCACTGAAATAGGCAAGGCTAACAACTTTTGAAAAACAGACTCATTCCACACACGCCAAACATTTGCTGCTGCCTCGTTAGGCTAGTATCTCACTGGTAAAGGCTAACTAAATATCATCTAAGGCCATATGTTTTAAAAATTTAGTTTTTACATTTTGTTTCAGAATCATTTAAAGTAACTGAAAATAACAGGCCTCCCAAACAGATATCAAATTCCTTGCTAGAATTTAAATTTTACAGACAATTTCCTGATATATCACCTACATTTTTGCATATTTCCAGTGGTTCTTACGAGCTGATAATGAAAGAAATGAGAGATGAAAGTTAAAATATGAATAGACACAACATGTCAATAGATGCAATTTGGAATATATGAGTCACTGTTAGGCTTCATAATAGGAATGTACAGAATTATTCATCTTTAGTTAGCAAAAAGAAGGATCTTGAAAACATTTTGAGACTATATTAATGAAGCTCCATGGAATTAAGCATTTAAGCTTTTCCATTCACTGACCGGGCAATTCAAGTATTCAAAGAGGTAGAATGCAACATAGGCAAGCTTTATTCAATATATAGTTATTTAGCATAAACATAACCAGTGTATTAATTCATGCATGTGTGTCTTTATTCAGATTATACAAATTGAAAAAAAAACTGAAGTGAAGTTCATAAAGATACTACTATATATGATAAATATATTCATATCATTTTAATAAAGTCAAGGAAATAAGCCTTTAAAGATTATTCATTCCAAGCATCTGCCCTTAGAAAAAAATCAAGTAATTCATTTCAATCCAATGAAAAAAAGATAATCTCAGTTAGACATTGTTCTCTGTGTAATATCAGTTGTTTTATAGTAGGAAAATCAGTAAATATTGATCACTTATAATGTGTAAGGAAAAACTAAATGTTTTATGTAGGTTATTACATCTTTACCAAATACCATGGAGATTTCCACATGGCATAAGTGATGATTAGAGAGGTCACGTCACTTGTTCAAGGAAACACAGAACAGGTCTGCTGAATAGGTGTGTTGATCTAAGATAATCAGTTCTAATTAAATGAGCTATATTTGTATTTTCTTGCATAATTCCCCGATAACTAATTGATTCAAAAATAATATGAATCAGAGAAAAATACCTATCACTGGAAGCCCATGTTCTGTCCCAACTAAACAAAAAAATAAACAAAAACCATACAATAATTTGTCTTGAAACATGATGGGTTATATTCTGAATCAGAGGAGGAAGCATGTCTTTTTTTGTCCCCTACAGTACCACATGGCTTATCATATTGCAGGCATTAATACATATGTGTTTGATAAGTGATTAAATAAGCATCAATACAAATATGAGAGGGGACAGAGAGAGAGAGAGAGACTGACAGAGAGAAGGTAGATGGAGGGAGAGAGGGAGCAAAATGAGAAGTCATAAAAAAAAAACTGAAGGAGTCATTTGCAAAGTGTTAAAAGATAAGCCAATTGAGGTCAAGGAATTAGATTTCATCTATTCTCTTTATACATTCTTATTATGCATCTGCAGTTTCTAACACTGTATTAGGCAGGAGAAATTCAATGGTGAATAAGACAAGGCAACCTGTTTCCTCATAGAGAGTAGAGCCCAAGGAAAGGAGAGAGAATAAAGAGCAATTACCATTCAGTGTGTTAAGTGATAGGAAAGGGAACCTGTGGGATTCTAAGAGGAAATGAAACAATGGCAACCAAACTATATTTGGAAATCGAATAAAACTTTCCAAGAAAACTAACATTGAGGACTAAATCTAAGGATTGAGAAGAGTGAAATTGTAAGAAGGAATTATTGGTTGGGTGAGGTGGCTCAGCCTGAAATCCCAGCACTTTGGGAGGCCGAAGCCGGTGGATCACCAGAGGTCAGGAGTTCAAGAACAGCCTGGCCAACATGGTGAAACCCCGTCTCTACTGGAAATACAAAAATTAGCCGGGTGTGGTGGCGCTTGCCTGTAATCCCAGCCACTCAGGAGGCTGAGGCAGGAGAATTGCTTGCACCTGGAAGGCAGAGGTTGGTTACAGTGACCCAAGATTGTGCCACTGCACTCCAGCCTGGGCAACAAGAATGAAACTCTGTTTCAAAAAAAAAAAAAAGAAGAAGAGATTATTAAAAAATTGCCCATTTCAGAGTTTTCAGATATAATATTTCCTTTTCCCAGGTAGATCTGTAGTAGTCTATATGGAATGTTGATTCAACTCAGAAGTTTGTGTAAGATTCAGAGGAGTTAAGGGAAAAGATCAATTATTATTGTGTGGCTATTCAATTGCCAGACTCTCTCCATCTCTTCTCTTTTCTTCCTACACAAACATGTGCTTGTTCTAACCTTTTTGTTATTGATTGAACTTCCTCTCTGATGGTAGAAAGTATGTTGTATTATACAAATAATTTTTAGGAAAATTATCTGTCTCCAGCTGTGAGATTACTTGATAATACAGTATGCAGATAATGTCTCTATTGGCATCAATGTTTATTATTTCAAAATAAAGATTAAAAATGCATTTGATAAAATTATGAAAAAACCCTTTTATTTATAATCTCAAAATAAGTAAGTGTGCAATATAGCAAAAAATGTGAAATTTCATCATGTACTATGCAGAAAACTACTCTGATATATGAGCTGTCATGTCAAATTATTTAAAATATTTTTCTATATAATTAATTACCTTCATTATCATTAAGAACTCCAAAATTCAACATTCTCCCTTAGTATTTAATGATTTTCAATATTGTGTGAATGCTTTGTCCTTTGAATCCTGACAGCACTTATGTGGTATATGCTCTCTTGATATTCTTGGTCTATGTCATCCCAATGAAGAATGGTGCTTGAAGGCAGATACTGTCCTACACAACTCTCTATCTGCTATGATGTTTAGTCCAGTGGCTTATTATGTGATTCAAATCTTACAATATTTGAAAATTACAAAATGAAAAGATAAACCTGACTTCTTTAAAATATTTTTCCACAAAATGACATGAGGAAAGAAGTTAAACCTATCAAATTAAAGATATGTCATATATATGTGTGTATATATATATATATTATAATTACATAAATATACTCAAAGGAGAAGATGTGATAGTAACAGCACATTACAGGAAACGCATTGGTCCCTTCTGCTAAGGGATGAGATATCCGTAGTAGGTATCTCATCAGGATGGCTTCTTGCAATCTTTCAAAAAGTTATATCTGAAACCCACAAAACCCCAGGAATTCACCTTTATGAAGACTTAAATACTAATATTTCTTCTTTCTAAAAACTTACACAAATTGCTTTTTCTGATAAAATATAGGACAATAGGCAAAGTAAATGTGGGCTGTTCAAGCAGCAGAAATTATATAGCAGATCATTCAACAGTTGCTGTAACTCACTCATAAGACGATCCTAGAGAGGTCAGCAGGCTTCCAGTATTGTATTTCCCAATGAAGTCTCATTGAAATATTTTAAAATAAAGTAACACTTGTTCATTAGTCTTACATCTTGTTAGGAGCTCGGCCTCCCCAAAGTGTTGGAAATACAGGCGTGAGCTGCTGCGCCCGGCCGGTTGTTAGATGCTTCTATAATTTTTCCTTTTCCGTTTTTGTTTTTGTTTTTTTTTTTTTGGTGTTTTTGGGTGGGGAGGGGAAGGCTGAGATTCACTTAGAGTACACGGCTGCTAACTGCCAGTGACAAGGAAAGCCTAAGTACCTCTGATTTGCCTGGGGCTGTACTCCCACACAGCCTCGGGACTACTTCCAATAACTTCCAACACTCTCTAATTGGGAAAGTAATTCTCATGGCACAATTTTATCAGGGAAACAAAACAAAGCCAAAATGGTAAGATAAAAATGTGACAATAAATTCTATTATAACTGTTACTCCAAATTATAGTAATATGCAAATTATAGGGCTTTCACTTGAACAACAACCACAATAGCCAGCAACAAGAACTACAGCCTATCCTGGTATATCTCTCCCTGCAAAATACAAATTTATAACTAATGAGGCAGACATAAATAAAAATGCCAAGTCAGTCCAACTCAACAATTAAAGAAACCATACTTATTTTTGTTTTTCCTTTATACCTCTGGTAAATCCTCAAAAAGAATCATTAGAATATAGTTCAAGCAAACAACTGCTTCAATTTTTCTGAAGGAAAGGTTTGACTACTCTTGGATACGAATGAAAGGAGTTCCTCTGAAAAATGGAACAATGCAGGTCCATACGCATATAGACTTCAATTAAAATGATGGTATCCATTTCTGTCCTCATATAATGTTCCCAGAAAAGAATAATATTAACGTAAAAAATGAATATATATACAGTGTAGGTAGGAGTATTCAGGATTTATTTCTATGTAGTTTGTAAACCCAATTTGCATAGATAAAACTGAGATAATTTGAGACACCCTATTAACATTCCAGAAAGACTCAAGCACCATAATAAACAAGTAATTTGGAAGGTCTTATTTTCTAGTTTCATTTTATTCAGTTTTCCAGGATAATTATATTACAATATTTTAATTTGTCATTTCTTACAATCTGCCCCTTTCTTTCAAAATTAACAATTTTTAAAAGATGTTAAGTAATATTGGTAACATCTTACACATACACACACATACATGGTGGCAAATTCATTAAATCAAATTGAGATACAAAAAACTTAACTAAAAATAGTGTTACATTTTAGAGTTTATATTCCAGTTTACTGGCAAATACTTATTTTATGCCAAAAAAAGTCTGAGATAAAACTGAAATAACATTTAAGGTAGACTTACGCCTCAACAAAACCAGTCTATAGTTATGACCAATGTGAATCGTAATCCTTTCCAAAGTAACTATCTTTTGAATATTGACTGCAAGAACAAAAAATAAATAGTCAAAGTAAGTCCTATATTACCAGAGTTTTGTAAAATTATCAATGAGAAAAATGCATGAGATAGTTACATGTGAAAAACAATACTAGTTTTTTCCATAAACCATAAACTTGTGTCAACATTATTATACAAGATTTTCATTGAGCAATAATAATTTGAATTTGTTAGGCAGATTCTGGGAACATTCTTCAATACTGTTTTAAAAATATTACCCAATCCCTTGCTTTTTTCCCACTAATACAATTTCACCAATTGAATAAGAGAAAACACCCAGAGTTTAGCATCTGAGTGTCCCCAGAAAGTCACATTGGTGTCAAAAAATCTTGATATTAAATATTATTCTATAGGTCTAAAAATATTTGTGTAATAATGCTGTATAAAATTTGTAGTAATATATGCTTATTATTAGAAATAGTTACAAGAATAACTCAACATAGAAATGATTTTTCAACCTAATTCAACAAATATCTATTATTGTTTGATAGAAAATATGGAAGATATTCAAGCCTTATTTCCATGGATGACCAATAATTTCACAGTGGAATTGGCTCTAGTAGTATTGACTAGAATCTTTCTACAAGCAGGACATTAAACTATTTAATAATTGGTGTCAGCAAAATTTACTGTCTACTAGAATGAAACACACCACCTGAATACCCCACACCTAATAATTCTCCATGGATTTAAAAAATTATTTCAAAAGACATTATGAAAATAATAATTTAAAATAATAAAATATTTACATGAAAATTAACAGAAAAGGGTTTGCATCCACAATATTAAAAAGGACCTAGAAATTGATGAGAAAATAATAGAGCATTCAATGAAAAAAAGACAAAGAATATTAATAGGCAATTTCCAGAAAAGGAAATAAAATATAAAACTTTGAAGGGTCATCAAATCAAATTGAGTCATAGTTGGAGAAATGCTAATTTAGGCAAAAACAGAACTGATCCCATATTGCACTGAACATACTTACCACACTTAAAAGATCAACAAAAATCTGTCTTAATCAGGATTGGGGAAATGACATTTTCATGTATCCTTGGTAGAAATGAGCCTTTTAATCATTCCTATGGAAGGTAATCTGACAATAGCTGTTAAATTTAGTAGTGGCTTAGTAATATCACTTTGGCAATGTATTATATAGAAATCAAAATCAAACTACTTGTAATCCTATATGAGGTTGTAGTCTTGATATGTCCAAAAAAACAAAAACAACACTGAGAAAAAATAATTTGAGAATTTGTTAAATTAATTGTGGTATATCTATATAATGAAATAGTATGCAGCCTTTAAAAGAACATGGAAAATTGATATCCATTGATTTAAAAGATACAATAATTCATTTATTCAGTATACACACATTTTACTACCTGCCTATTACGTGCCCAGCAAAGTTCCAAGCAATGGAGATACATCAAGAGAAAGGGAAGAGATATTTGCCTTTGTGAATCATATTTTAATGTAATTTAAATGTGAAAGTATGTAGTAGAATATTTTACGATATATTTTTGTTAAAATAAAAAATAAAATTTATTGATAAAAAATATATCTATATGTTTAGATCAGAAAAAAGAAACATAGGACATATACACGGGCTTTTACAAATCACTATTATCACAGAACAAATGAGGACATGGAAATGGATTAAGGAAATGTACATATTTTCTTTGTATATTACTTGCGTGTGTGCATTCTCGATTGAGAGGACACTGTAATACATTTGTAATTTTGGAAGATCATACTTAAAGCAAGACTTTTTAAAAGTTTGCAAATAATTTCATGGCAAAACCTTTATCATGGTGAAAAGAATTTGGTGTCATCTTGCAGTATATTATTTAAAAATTATTCTTATAAAAATTCATTTAATATCTTCTTTTACAGTACCATCATCTGAACAATTACTTTTCATTCAGCATCAGCTTAGAGTTTCTATGCTTAACTATTTAGGAGTTTCTAATATGTGGACAACAGAATAGTCAATGAAGTCATTTGAATAGTAACATAAGAAATATTTTCAAATTATAATTATATATCAAATAATGTGGCCAGAGTGTCACATCAGCATTAATTTCTCAATACGTTATACTGTTTTTGAATCAAGTTTGCTTTTAGAATATACATTTCATAATTCCCTATTCTGTCTACTAGATTACATACTTTTTGAAGTCAGTCATCTTGTATTAATTTGGGATGGATTCATTTAAAATTGAAAAGATATTTGACAACCAGCTGGAGCTGGAATGTTATGAACTTAATTTATCTAAGGATTAATAGAATAAATACATTAGAATTAAAATATGGAATTTTATTGTTTGGAAATGATGGTTAACAGTTGAATTATAGGTCTATTGATATTTTTATTTTATTTTTATGTTTAATTCTCTTTAATAGCATAAATCACTGCAAAGTAAAATATTAAAATGGCATAATTATAGAAAACATATGAAAAAATGAGAATTCTGTATACATGCAAGATAGAAAAATTACAAAAAGAGGCCAGACATGGTGGCTCATGCCTGTAATCCCAGCAGTTTGGGAGGCCGAAGGGGGCGGATCACCTGAGGTCAGGAGTTCAAGACCAGTCTGGCCAACATGGTGAAATCTTGTCTGTACTAAAAATACAAAAAAAAAAAAAAAATTAGTCTGGCATGATGGTGGGTGCCTGAAATCCCAGCTACTCGGAAGGCTGAGGTGGGAGAATCTCTTGAATCCGGGAGTTGGAGGTTGCAGTGAGCCGAAATAGCACCACTGCACTCCAGCCTGGGGGCAGAGTGAAACTCCACCTCAAAAAAAAAAAAAAGAAAAGAAAGAAAAATTACGAAAAGAGGGAATCAGGAAGCAGGAAGATTTTGCCTATGAAATACGTACAAAATATTTAAGCAATTATGTTGATTATTTTTCTGTGTTATTATAGATTATGCTGAATGATAAGGTATGCCATCCACTTAATGGACTCCCATTTGTTTGGCCAAAGAAAATAAAGGATGATTCCAGAAGAAATATTTTTGTTATATATTGACCTATCATTTCAGTTAGGCAAGTTTGAGCAAATGGAATATTATTGTACAGCTTAAGGTTCCTGTATTTCAAGAATAAGAATGCAAAAGACAAAAACAAATGGAGTCAAACTTTAGACTCTACTTATTTTGAAATTTATGGTGTGAATTTGTTTAGGGGACAATGAAAATAATTAAGAAAAAGACCATCACAATAAAAGAATAGCTTAAAAAGCCCTCCAACAGAATATATTGAAGAAGATGGCAAAAAGGAATGTTTCAAAAAGTAGAATGACTAAGTACAAGTTAATATGAGATAGTAAAGGACTTTTCAATAAAGTGCTAGTTAAAGCAAATAAAAATGCCCAATTCAGGGGAGTCGATATAAGAGAAATGGCTAAGGAAGAAAGCAAAGCAATTCCTGATTTTTTGAATGAACCTAATTCAAAATTCAGAAGAAACAAAAACAAAGGATTAAACTATAGCTACAAAGAAATATTGCTATTTTTGAAAGGAATTCTGAATTGTAATCATGAAGATGGCCTTGCTTTAATTTCTAGAATCTACTCACACTTGTGTTTGATTTGTGAGAATAACAAATTCCTGTGACATCATGTTCTTATGTAACAATATAAAGTCCTATTTTACTGCCCTATTAAGGCATATGTGGAAACGGGAGAAGATTTTCATTATCACAATGACCTGTAGTCTGAGGCCTGTGACTACTACTAGAATCAAGGACCATGCACCAAGTAGTGGATACTACTGGAATCTAGGACCATGCTTTAATGTCCTAAGTGCACAGTGAGGAGCACACTTAAAGTATTATCCCCATCAAATGTCTGTAGTGCTTCTGAAAAGGAACACAGGCTGAATGACCCTTACATCTTGAACACAACTGCTTTAAGATTTTAACTTCTTGGGGCATTAAGAAAAAGGTAGACATCAAGTTTACTATTTTAGCCAAAATGCTGAGATATATCCAATTGTCAACAATTTAGGAGAATAAGCCTGAAAATAAATCCTGATTGAAAGAATGTAAAACTATGAGTTTACTGTGCAAGGAGACTTCAAAAAGATTATGGAAAATATATATTATGGAAAAACTGTGCATGGATTTTGAATTTTTTTTGTATCAAAATAAACTTGTACCAGCTTTTGATAACATGTCTAAATAAGATTTAGGTTGAGGCAGTAAGAAGGATAAGAGAATCAGTTTGAAAAGCATCCCAATCAGAGCAACATTAATTCTGCTAAAATTAAAGAAAGAACAGACATCTAACTTACTTAACTTACGGTGAGACTTGGATGGAAGAATGGTGAAATCACTAATGCTTTACAAAAACTTTAATGGGGATAATGCCCTATTAGAAATTAGTAGTTTCCAAATCAATAACTTGTTTTAAGAAGGGACAAGATGATGTTGAAGATGAAGCCCACAGCAGCTGATCATCTACATCAACTTGTGAGAAGAAATCCTGTTGGTGCCCCAATTGAAAAGGATCAATGATTAACAGAGATTTATAGAGCACCCTTGACATGAGTGAATCCATCTTGAGAGACAACTCCATCTTAAATTTCAAAAGTCATCAAGCCAACAGTGTCCAGATGTTCCTTCAATCAATAGACAATACCCAACCAAAGAAGGACATAATCCTTTACTATCAGTCCTCACCAGAGGACTCAAGGGTCACAAAGTAAATAGGACTTTAGCAGCTAAACATGGTCATCTTGATAGACCCCATCTTGCTGTTACTCATGATCAGCACCCGGCTTCTGACACCAAACACTCTGCCCAAATCAAAGACTCTTCCTTGAAAAGCATTGACTACTGTCTGGATCAGGCCAGGACACTTTCTTTGTCAACATCACTCTTCTTTGACTGGTTTATTTTAACTCTCTTTCCTATCCCCTTTTTTTTTTTGATGTTAAATGTTACCGTGCTTTGTGTAAAATCTTAATCTATAATATTTATATACTGATTATGTATACTACTAGGTATGGTTTACAATGTGGACTGACCTGTGGAGAGGCTTGATCCTGTGTGCCCATGGTTCTGACTACCAAGTTAATGGGTAGTAATAAGGAGACTTGCTTCCTTGGGAGCTCCATGTAGCTTGAGGCATTTGTGATTAAAAATAACATCAATAAAAATTTGACTTTGTGAAAAAACACAAACGTGTGGATTTAATTATGTCTGATCTTGCGCCACTCACAACAACAACACAAATAATAGCCAATACCATAGACATCTCAATTGGTCCAGTTTCCACAATTCTGACTGAAAAATTAAAATTGAGCAAACTTTCCCTGAATGGGTGCCAAAATTGTTGTACCCAGATCAAGTGCAGACAAGAGCAAAGTTTTTGATGAAAATTTTAAACAAATGGGTTCAAGATCCTGAAGCATCACTTCAAAGAATTCTATCAGGAAATATAAAGTGTCTTTACCAGTATGATACTAAAGAAAAAGCAAAATGAAAGCAATGGCTACCAAGAAGTGGAAGTGGTCCAGTCAAAGCAAAAGCAGATTGATCAAGAGCAAAGGTCATGACAATAGTTTGATGGGATTCTTAAGGCCTCTTGCTTATTGATTTTCTGAGGCCAAATAACAATGCCATCTGATTATTAGAGAGTGTTTTTATAAAGTTAGCCAAAGCATTAGCAGAAAAATGCCCAGGGAAACTTCACCCGAGAGTCCTCCCTCCACCATGACAATGCTTCTCTTTTCATCTCTCATCAAACAAGGGCAATTTTGCAAAAGTTTTAACGGGAACTCATTAGACATCTAACTTACAGTTCTGATTTAGCTCCTTCTGACTTCTTTTTGTTTTCTAATCTTAAAAAATTGCTAAAGGGCACATATTTTTCTTTAGTCAGTAATGTAAAAAAGACTATATTGCATGGTTAAATTCCCAGGACTTAAGTTGTTTTTGTTTTTGTTTTTTGAGAGTCTCACTCTGTCACCCAGGCTGGAGTGCAGTGGCAGAATCTCGGCTCACTGCAACCTTTGCCTCTGGGTTCAAGCGATTCTCCTGAGTAGCTGGGATTACAGGTGTGTACCACCACACCCAGCTGTTTTTTTATTTTTTTTATTTTTAGTAGAGACATGTTTTCACCATGTTGGTGACTTCAGTTACTTAAGGCTGAACTAAATGGTTGGTGTCATCCACGTGCTTACAAAAGTCTCTTGGCCTTGATAGAGCATATATTGAAAAATACAATTTATATTTTTATTTTTGCCTTTTAATTTTATTTTTCACATCCTTTTAAAACTCACCTTGCATTTTATATGTATTATACTCATAATAGAAATGTTGGCTTGGGAGTATACCATGAATTGTGAAAACTATAATATTTATCAGAAGAAAACAGAAATGTTATGGCTTGTAAAAAGCAACTCATTCTCTTTGCTATAGAGAAAAGAAAAGTGAAGTTTGGAAAGCTTGTGGTACTTATCCAAAAATACACAATAAAAATGTCCTCCCTTCCTTCTAACATAATGTTCTTTTCCTCTCAATAAGAATATTTTACGGGTGCATTTTACTTAAAAAATGAATAAAATGAAAATTTAGTTCTAAAAGTGCCCTAGTGAGTTAAAATGGTAAACAAGAGAAAATCTTAGTCCTTTTAGGTTGGTAGTTCATACATGGACTGTATAGGGTTTTAAAAATATGTATGTGATTCACATCTTAGGGTTAGTTAGTTCTGAGTGAAAAAGGAATTATAAATTGTTCTTTCTGTAATTTTGTTAAAGATATCTCAGCCAAAATATATGGCATTTTAAAGAAATATTCATTTTAGTTGAAATTTCAGTACTTCCACACAACTCCCATGTCTCATGTGTATGGAAAAGTCCCTGGCATCTCTGAGTTCATGACTCATTTAGAAGATAAGTGGCTATGCAAAAGGCTTATACGATAAGGATTCATATTATTACTGATTGCCATAACAGTAATTCACTTCTGCAGCCAGGCAAATATTTAGTTTACATTTTAAGAACTGCATTGTAAAGTCTACTCTGTTTTCTTAAGCAACAACAGAATGGGTTATTGGTATTTGCAGTAATCTAATTAGTAGATTTACATACTGACTACTTCTTTAATAGTTTCCTTCTGGAAAGGTTCTCTGCATACAAAGTGGGTGTGCATCCTAAAGACAGAATAAAAAGCAAGTGATTCATCCAGATGCTTTCCCATTTTGTTATTTAAACTAAAAGTTTTAGAAGTGACAGGGACTCTAAGAATTTTACTTCCATTTTATACCTTCATTTTCATCTGCAGTGCATGATTTCAGGTAACAAGCTAGCATACATTTTATGTAATTATTAAGAGTCAGTGTACCTTTCACTATTATTTGATTTTTTAAATATCACATTGTATAGCCACTTGCACTCTGGCCTCATTCAGGGTGTTAATGTGTTCTGTTGAACATACTCAGTTTTCAACTACAAAGGGTTGAATTCTTCTTTTGTAGCAACAACACTCCTTTCTTCGCTACTGAAATCTCCTGAGATTTTGGCACACACTGAACTTCCAGTTGCCCACTCTTTAAAATATATATATAATTTTTAATTTATAGGAATTAAGTGATTTTAGGTACTCAACACCAATTTTCTGCATTATAGAAATTTAAGTAAAATTTTAATTTAAAACATCTTAAATTAATTTTTAATTGAAGATTAAAAACAAATTTTTTTTTCAGCTGGGTGCAGTGGCTCACACCTGTAATCCCAGAACTTTGGGAGGCCAAGGTGGGTGGATCACCTGATGTCAGGAGTTCAAGACCAGCCTGACCAACATGGAGAAACCCCATCTCTACTAAAAAAATATAAAATTAGCCAAGCGTGGTGGCGCATGCCTGTAATCCCAGCTACTCAGGAGGCTGAGGGTGGACAATCGCTTGAACCTGGGAGGCGGAGGTTGCAGTGAACCGAGATCGTGCCATTGCACTCCAGCCTGGGCAACAAGAGCGAAAGTCCATCCCCCCCACCCTACCCTGCCAAAAAAAAAAATGCTACAGCTTAGGCATAGCTAAAGAGTATACCCACTGGCTAAAACAAAACACAGGTATTATAGTCAGGCAAAACTGGGTTCAAATCCTGACTTTGCTACTTAATATCCAGTGGGCTGAAGCAAGTTATTTAGTATCTCTGGGCCTCTTTTTCTAATTCTATAAAACAGGAATAGCAATGCTACGGTCGAGCATCAGAGAACTAGATGTCCTGATTGTCCGTTCTTAACTTGGCATCACTACAGCCATTTTCTTCTGCATGGCTCCAGGGAAGCCAGAAACTGCATTTGCTTCAATCCCTTCTCCTTGTAGTTCTCACTTTGCCAAATGGGAGGATCCTAAAAGATCTCAACGTAGGAATAAAAGAAATTTGTATTTTCTGCAGTTGGTTGTTGCCAGATGTGTAAGTGGACATGAGACTCCCAGGAGCATTCCTGTGAGCTGTTTGGAGTTTCAGCACAAGATCTTTCCTGTTTTCTCTGACCTTTAGTGAGTACCGCCTTGACCTTTTCTTGCTCAATCTTTCAACAATTGTGAAAGCTGCTAGTTCCCACATCAGCACCACTACTTTTGGATTATATAGAGTCCCTTCTGTGGAACTGAGTAAAATAAACTAATACACAGTAACATCAAAAAACAAGATAGAAATTTCAAATATTTGAAGTCAACTGAGTATACTGTGAACATGACACATATATTTATTATTAAGGTAGAAAAAAACTACCACTTGTTACTCAAATAATAATACATGTTTATTGAACACTTACTAAGTTTAATGCTCTAAGTACTTTAAATTACATACTTATTTAATAGCTACAAGTAACCTTGAAGGTAAGGAGTATATTATTCTATTTTATAAGTCAGAAAACTGAGACAGAGAAAGTTTAAGTAAATTGCAGGAGGATATATGGGTTGAGTGGAAAAGTAAAATATCAAAATTCAAAAGTTTCACTCCAAAGCCGCCACAATTCACCACAATGAATAATATACTGTCTCAATATCTAACTTTATGCTCATGTCCCACATTTTACATTTTGTGACTGTAATCACTACCTAATGGGGTTTTCTTTTAAATGAGATAGCATTTCCTCAGATATTTAGCATAGAGTGTGCTCCGGAATAGGCATTAAATAAGAGGACATCTATTAACAGTTTTAGCAATGTTATTCTTTTGAATATTAAGATTGCCTCTAGTAATTACCATAGTTCATGCAGAGACCTTACCTTACTCATTTCTCTCTTGTAGCACCAAACATAGTGCCTGACATAAGCAGAATTGTTCTAGGACTCCTGTTATTAGCGTTTAATAAAATATTGCCGGTAAATTTTGTTTAATTGCCTTATTTATCAATCCAAATTTACATAATTAAAATACTCATGGTAAGGCATGAAATAATATTCAGAAATAATAATTGCACTGAATCAAAAGAAGATTTACAAATAAAAAATTCAGATTTTGCACTGCAAGAGACTTCAATTTGCAAAAGCACAGTTGAGATTACTTGGGAGGGGTCTGGTATGAAAACTATCAGGTTTAATAGAACAAAGGAAATTTGGTATTCCATTCAGATGGTGATACAAAATGGCATAATACATAAATGAAATGATATTTCAAAGAGGTATTTCTTAGTAAGGATTGATTGCATTTGTACAACTGATTTATGCTATTAAAATAGCATTACTTTAGACACTAAAATATAAGCAATACAATATTTTAAAAAGGGACTTATAATCCTGGCTAACACGATGAAACCCCTTCTCTACTAAAAATACAAAAAATTAGCCAGGTATGGTGGAGGGTGCCCGTAGTCCCAGCTACTTGGGAGACTGAGGCAGGAGAATGGCGTGAACCCGGAAGGCGGAGCTTGCAGTGAGCTGAGATTGTGCCACTGCACTCCAGCCTGGGCGACAGAGCGAGACTCTGTCTCAAAAATAAAAATAAATAAAAATAAAAAATAAATAAATAAAAAGGGACTTATATACATATTTTAGATGAACACACATTTATGTATATATACGTATATACATTTTATGTTGTCACTTAACAATGTTGAAGAAGTCATTTACAAATTATGCAGTTTAGTTATATAATAATAGTGATCATGATCAATGCATTTCTACATTATAAATTGTACAGTATATTAAATATAAATAAGTACGTATAATTTTGGAAAGTAATGCAATGTTATCCTAAAATGATCACGTGTCTGTAATTGATAAATTGAAGTTATCGTCAAGAAAATAAGAAATGCTTGGATATACTTTTCTTTAGGTACAAGAGAAAAAGAGTTTAATCAAAACTTTCACAAATATTTCCTAGCCCTTTTTTTTCCCTCTTTTATATCAAGACTAATTCTTTTGCAAATGAACTCAAGACCATACCTCTTTGATTATTTCTGACATTTTATTAGATGAGATATGCAAAGGTTCTTGGGCTGGGAACATTTACTTAGCTGGTACATCATATGTCTCTATAAAAATAGCTGAAATTAGATACGGCTCCTATAGAAACTTTATTTTTTATAATATTAAACTTTTTAACAAGGCTTTTGATAAAAAGTTTTTCTTTTACATAATAATAGTCTTTATTTCTTTTAAGGTTATAAGGGCCAGAAAGAGAAGAGCTGAAAGTCAAATGTACCGGGCTGTATGATATACAGTTTATGTAGAAAATCTTCAGTCAGTTTCCATGGCAGCTTGCAACTAAATATGTGATAAAATAAATTATTTAAAGTTTAAATTCTCTTTAAATACACTAGAGTTTATACCTCTTGAAGATAGTAAAGAGTCACTTAAGGCTATTTTACATGTATTAATGTATAGCTTATGAATAAATACCTTTTGTATATATTAAAAAACTGGGCATATTTTATAAAATTTAAAAGAAAAAAATACCATATTATGTATTGAAGATTCCAAACTCCAACCATGGGAGCTGTCAAGAGGGATATATATTTCATTTGTACCCAATATAATTTAAGTTTCACACTCCCCTGCATCTCTGAGATACCAGATTACCTGTGTTTTTTATATCTTATAGCCCACAGCTGACACTTCAGTCACTATGGTAACTATACTGTCTCTTACAGTAATACAAGGCTATATCCATGACCAATAAAATCTTGAACAGGGTTCATAAATAATCCATGTGAAAGTGAATCTTGCTGTCACATTAGTTTCCGGCTAATCTGGTTTTGGCAAGTGTATAATTATGTTGATGAAATTGGTTTAGTGGATTGTTTACTCTGTCTTCCGTAATGATATAACATGTAGTGACAGAAACAAAGTAGCCTTATTGACTGCCAGAGCTGCAAAATGGAAGGAAAAAGTTTGTTCTTTTCTCTTAGAACTAGATTTATAATTGTGAGAGCAAGAGGATTAAATGGAAAAGCTGCTAATCTAGTAAATCCATGTATGATCTCAAAGTACCATATAGCATCCAAGGATTTTGATATTTATTTTTGATGCACCTCTCATTTTTACAAATTGTTCGTGTGTATATTTATTATGCATATATTAACACATGCATATATGTATGTGTATACATATGTGTATATATTTCCCCTCTGAAATGTTATTTATTTTTTGTGTTTACCATGAGGATAATTGTAACCTTGCTGGTAACATTTTGTTTGTTATCACTTACATATAACAGGCTATTATGTTTTTCAACTTAATAATGTAGAAATATATTATCAATATTATATATGTCAAAATTAGAGATATATTTTCCTTAATTTCTTTATGCCATGTTTATCACCTTCTGTTGTGTCCAATATATGGTATTAATTATTTTAAATATTATTAAACTAACATTAAGTAATGTTCTTGGAAATTGTACTATATGTCAAACAACCTGTGTGGAATTTTATAAATTGCACCTAAATTTCTAAAAAACAGAGAAGTGAAGACCGATAATGTAAAATGTGTTAAAATTTTTATAATAAAATATTTAAAACAAACAGCAAGAACAAAACAATGAAAACCAAATAAAAATCATGTACAGAAGAAAATAATCTCAGTTTAGTTACTTTGTTGAGTAGTAGAAGTTTTGAAAATATTTTAGCAGTAACTTATTTCCCCATATATCTTTCTGTGAGAAATGTATAGTTCTTTAAAATTTAATATTATGTTCAAAAGAGATGATTCTATTTAGATACTGGGCAATGTGGTTCACGGCTGAATTTATTTAATTGTTAACACATGAAAATTAAATAGGTCCTGCAAGGGACTCAGTATGAGAGTGTGTTAAAGAGGTTTTAAAAAACTAAAACCCATTAAGGAAAACATTTGCAACATCTGTTAAGTATACAATATTTTTAAATCTTTAAATCCATATGCCAGAAAAATACTAGGCAATACAAATCCTAAAGCAATCTCATTTTATACAAGAATAAGTCTAGTAAAATATAGCTGAACAAATCTTTAAAATACATTGTTTTTCAATTCAAATGAATATATAAAGCAATAATTAAATCTGTTTTCATAAGTGAAGCTCAAATTTCATTTTAAAAAATTTTATCTCGTAAATATAGAATCAAGAAAAGATTGTAGTTTTCTAACAAATCTGTGACACTGTAATGTTATGCTCAATAGAAAAAAATGCAATTCAAATGGGTAAGGAGAGAGAATCATTTTAAGAATAAAAGAGCACTATAATAGCTCAATTAATAAACATGCTTAGTTCTAATGACCTGTTTTGTATTCAGAAACCTTATTTACAGGGGGAAAGTGATTTGAAAGCTATTAAAATATTTTATAATTATTAAAAATATAAATAGTCATGAAAATAGCATTAGAAGTACTTGAAACTCCATATTTACATTTTTCTGATAAACAACAAAAGGTTGAGATAGGAGAGGAAGAAAGTCAGTTGAGCCTGTGTTAGCCAGGTTCTAGTTAAAAGGGGAGGTTCTAGTTTGTGATCTAAATGTAGTTTACCCTGCAGGGCCTGCAAAAAACATTTTGAAAAAGGTTATCAACTGAAACTTAAATAGGTCCTTTACAGGTTCCACATTTCTCCTCTCATAACATTTCATTTTTTACCTTACAGAAGACATGCTTATTTAAGCCTTTCTAATGTGGAAAGAGTTGGAATTACATAAATATCCCATATTCTTTCTTTTTTTTTTTTTTGGCTTTTGTAGTTGTTCATTCAGTATGGATTGACTTCCCCTTTAGCTGCCTGTTAAATGCTCATATAAAACTTAGCCAACAACTTATCTCCTAGGAAGCCTTTTGTGATTTCAAGAGGTACAGTTGAATACCTTTACTGCAAATTACTATGTCAATATTTGGTGTGCATTTAATATATGCTGTTGGAAATTGTTTAAGTTAGGGAACCTGACAGCAGACAGCTAATCTTTGCTTTGTAACTGTGTTGGGGATGCTGAGGCCACATTTAGTCTCAATGATTTGCTAGAACTCACAGGACTCAGAATAGCTGCTTTGCTCATGTTTATGGTGCAAGAATATAAATTAAACTCAGCAGAAGGAAAAGGTGCATGGCAAGAAGTCCAGGGGAAAGCAGGCACAAGCCTCCAGGTATTCTTCCCCAGTGGGGTCTCACAAACATCCTTTAATTTCACAGGAACGTGTGACACACATGCAAATTGTTATTGACCAGGAAGCCTTGATGCTCGGGGTTTTTACTGGGAGTCATTTATTGGGGATCTGCAGAACTGACTGCAGCCATTCAAGATTTTACCCCCACCCCCAGAGCAAAATCAGATGTTCATCATACATCACATATTAGCATAAATTGTATGATCAAACTTGTATTATGTGGTCCAATGCCTAAGACACACAAAAGCATTATTATCAGCCAAAATAGTCCAAAGGCTTAGAGTTCATCCCTCAGGAGCCAGCCAAGGGACAGGCCTTTCTTGGCAATGTCCCAGGTCCCAGCAACCCATACCTGTTGAGTTAACTCCTTCTTGCATGGTAGCTAATTTCTCCCAAACTCACAGGCTTGAAGCAACATTTATTACCTCATAGTTGCTGTGGATCAGGAATCCTGGTGCAGAGTAGCTGGGTCCTCTGCTTCATCATCTCTCTCAGGCAGCGATCAAAGTGTTGGCCAGAGATGTAGTCATCTCAGGCTCCACTGGGGAAAGATATCCTTCCTAGCTCAAGTGATTGTGAGAAGGATTTATTTCCTTGTGGGCTCCTGGACTGAGGACCCCAATTCATCACTGGCTGTAGACTAGAGACTGCTTTCTCTTTCGTGCCATGTGAGCCTCTCCAACATGATAGCTTTCTTCCTCAAAGAGAACGAGCCTAAAAGTCAAGAGAAAGAGCATGAAGGAGCTAGCATCCTGCTAACAAGATGGGAGTCACAGGCTTCATAAGCTAATCTTGGAAGTGACATCCTATCACTTTTGACATAGCCTGTTTATTTGAAGCAAGTTACTAGGTAGACCACACCAAAGGGAACAAATTACTGAAGGACCTGAAGACCAGTAGGCATGAATCTTTGGCAACCATTTTAGAAGCCAGCCTACCACACTCCTGAACATGAAGATTTTTCATAAAACATCCAGGATAATTATCAGGACCACTCTGTGGCCATGGCACAACAAGACAAAAACAAAACCACTCAGTAATCACATCTGAGCGCAAAGAGAATGGTACAATACAATCAGAAAAATACCTAACCATGGCTTTTCTTTGACTAAAACATGTCACTACTGTTATTCACTTATGCTAATACTAGCCATGCTTTGTTCCTCTAGTATCCCAAATAAAAATTGACACCTGATTATGAAATTGGCTGCACCTCTGAGAGGATACAATCTAGAATAAACCTTCACTTCTTTAAACCCTCTCTAAACCAAAACTCTGTAATATCTCTTCTAAATCCTCCTTACTGATATACTTTACGTCTTCCCATGGCATGGCTTCTCCCTTACTGCAGCAAGCTAGTAAATCAACTTTGATGCTAGGTGACTCCTGTGGTCTCCATCTGGTGGGCATTAATACGAGGCTTTGTGCTAAGAACTTTGCATATACTATTTTATTTTAATCCCCCAAATAAGGGTCTAAAAGCTTAGTGAATTTAAGTCACTTTAGCTATGACATAGCTAAGATTTAAACACAGTCTATCTCTTGCATGAGCTGTAAATCACTCAACACATTGTATCACTCTTCTACTACGTTTTGCTATATACTATAATAATGATGTAATGATATATTTTTATGTATCACCTTTACACTTTAATACTTTCCCTGGAGGAAATACACTTTTATAGTTCTACTGAATGAATAAAATACTGCAATGAACCATATATGTATACATTTTATTTTAAATCACTTGTGTATGAAATTAAGTTATATTTTTATCAATGACCTCTATCCTGGACTTCCTTTCTATATTTCTGATGCTGCCTTGGTGTTTTCCTTTTGTTAAAGTAAATGTCTATATCTTGCTCTTGTTCTGAATTTAGTCAGACCTTTACCACCACTTTATCTGTCTGCTTCCAGTGCCTGCCTTCCTGTGCCTAAGTTCCTGTCAATTTACCTTTTTAGTAGATTTGTTCTTCTGGAATTATGGTCTTATTTGCTAATCTAACCCATCTTCATGGAGTTTGTATTACTTGGATCTAAACCATGAAGAGAACAGATTTCCAGGCTTCTAGGGACACTGTTCACATGTGATGATATGTGATGCTCACATGCTTAGATCTCCCTTTATTGCCTAGTTAATGTCTTGTTTAAAGACAATCTTTGCCTGATCATTAATATCTCTTTAATCTATTTTTTCCAATATGTTCATTTCCTCTTGAGATGTGCCTAAGCCCTGGACGTGACATGTCCAGGTATTGGGTTACTTAGAAAAATGTTTCTGCTCTATAGTTTTAAAATAAGCTATCTTTTACCCCAGCTTCTCTTCTGAGTCACAGCCATGCTGATGCTATTTGCTGGTACTAGATTTATGTACCAAGACTACAGCATCATTTAAAATATGGTATTTCTATATTGTAAAATCCATCAGTAGTGCTCCGTTGCATATAGGATGCTTTACTCTCAGGCCTGTTCATAATTCTTGCAATATGCTTTCTTCACTTTTCAAATCCATCCTCAAACTCCTCAGTATATTATCCCAGTGCAGTCAAAATTGTATATAAGCCCCCCAAATGCATGTGTATACATAGATACATATATATTTTTAAACCTTGCTGAAGTTCCAATTTGTGAAGTATCTTTTTTTTATCACCACCAGTCTCCAGTGACCTCACCTTCCCAGTGTCTAAAACACTATTATCTAAACACAATGTGAAACTGTCATTTGAAACTTTATGCTTTACTTGAACTAAATTTTAAAGCCAGTACACAGAACACATTGTTAAGACCCTTGAACAGTAACTTGTTAAATTAGTAAGAAATGAAATAAAACACTTTAAATTATTCAATTATATAAATAGCTCGATGGGTCATTTGTGAATGGATAGATATCATAATTTTGGTTCTCCCAGAAGTAGACCTTGAGACACATAATAGAGTGCAAATAGATTGTTTGGGAAGAAATTCCATGAACATGATTAAAACCCTAAGGAAATAACACCCTAAGGAAAAGAGGAAGAAGCCAATAAACGGTGCAAGCAAGATACCACTGTGGGCAAATAGGACTCAATTCTGCTGGAGAATTTTGGAAAACTGTTTAGAACACAGGCCCAAGATTTACCAGAATGAGGTAAGCATTTTCCACAAACTTATGACAGTCATTAGCTGAAGGCAGCACTTACAGGGCAGTAATTCCCCAGAATTCTCAGCCTGTGCTTCTCTCGCACTGTACGTTGGCAGAGAGGGCTCTGGTGCACAAAGAAAGCCCTTAGGTAAAAAGAAGTGAGTGCTGAAAGTTAGCATTTGGGACAGCTATTATGGAAGCAGATTTGAAACATCTGCTACTGAGGGTAAAGAAATTTATGAATACTTATGTTGGTAATATGAATGTAATAATAAAAATGTTATTACTAATAATTTCATTTTTGTGTGATTTATATTTTGTTCTTTGTTTGTTTGCTTTTTTAGAGACAAGGTCTCACTCTGTCTTCCAGGCTGGAGTGCAGTGGCATGATCATAGCCCACTACTGTAGCCTTGAACTCCCAGGTTCCTATGATCCTTCCACCTCAGCCTCCCAAGTAATTGACACCAAAGGCACAAGCCACTACACCCAGCTATTTTTACTGTTTTTTAAGAAATGGGGTCTTGCAGTGTTGTCAAGGCTGTTTTAGAATGCCTGACCTCAAGAGAACTCCCTGCCTCCACCTCCCAAAGGGCTAGGATCACAGGTGTGAGGCACTGTACCTGACCCCAAGTACCCTGACAAAAGACCTTGTTACCAGGTGTATTAGTCTGTTTTCATGCTGCTGATAAAAACATACCTGAGACTGGGTAATTTATAAAGAAAAATAAGTTTAATGGACTTACAGTTCCACATGGCTGGGGAGGCCTCACAATCATGGTGGAAGGCGAAACGCATATCTTACATGGTGGCAGGCACAGAGAGAATGAAAGCCAAGTGAAAAGGGAAACTCTTTATAAAACCATCAGATCTCATGAGACTTATTTGCTACCATGATAACAGTATGGGGGAACCACCCCCATGACTCAATTATCTCCCACCAAGTTCCTCCCATAACATCTGGGAATTATGGGAGCTAAAATTTGAGATAAGATTTGGGTGGGGACACAGCCAAACCATATCACCAGGTCAAGTATTTTAAGTATGAAACCTGAAAAAAACAGGTATAAAATTGCAAATTACAATTATTATGTTTTTATTGCTTCATGTGGTTGGCCATCTATTATAGTGCTACTTAAAGTGTAGGCTGCAAAGTATGTTACTGGTCCACCATAATAAAAAGTGCTTGAGTTATAATTTAGACCAGTAGAATACCACTCAGATCAGTTGAGATTTCAATTTACATTCTGACACACATTCCTTATCTCTCAGAACCAGGAAAAAATAAAATAGTGGACCAGCTATTTTGAGATGTATAAACTCATGAAAATATTTTGGTTCACTATGTAATTATATATCTTTACAAATGCACCTGCCTATTACTCTGCTTCCATGTTCAACAAGCAGTTTTCAGATTACAATTCAGTTTCCCATGTAATGTCTTCGATATAAAAAAATTGGATAGGTCAATTAAATTCAATGTTATAGTTAATATATGGTTTATATTTTCACTCTAGATTAATAAATTCTCCATCTGATTCATACATCAACACCATGTACATTTTATTAGAAGGTCAAACTCCAAAGAGACTTGTCTTCAGGTGGGCTAATGAAATTGAACTTCTGGACATCTGAAGCTTATTACCAGGTCCTGAAATATGATTGCCAGCTTGTGGAACAATATGTGGAATGTCAGTGTGCCTCCATGTATGATAGTTCTTCCTCATTCTTCTGCTACAGTAAATGGATCTTAAATGACAGCAGCAGGATTCATTCCTCTTTGTACTTCTAGAACCTAGCTTATTACAGGGGTTCCTAGAAATCGCTAGATAATGGTGATAAATGGATGCTCAAAGTACCTTTGAAAAGTTGTCCAAGCTTGTTCATTATCAAATAAAGAAATAATACCCACAGAGTTGACATCAGTGGACAACAATCATTCAGTTACAGAAAATACTAGATCCAATGTTTCTTAAATTCCATTCCAATTTTTTATCCCTTTATCAAACTCAATCCTCATATATATATATAAATATATATTTTATATATATATAATATATATTTATATATTTATATATGTGTCTGTGTATATAAAACCTTTGCTAATATTCAGTTTCCAACATTTACCTAGTATGTAATAATACAGCTGAATGGATAAACATATGAACTATATCATTATATCTTTCAAATATTTAGTCTTTTGCTAAATGAAACTAAATAAATCTATTACAGTAATTCTAAGAGCTAACTCACTATATATAAGTGACTTTGACATAGGGGATGATATTATAAGTGGCCCCATTATTAAAAGATTAAGTAAAAAAATGAAACTAACTTAATGGTGAATAGGAATTTGGGTTATCTCTTATTTCTCTACCCAGAAATATGGTGAAGTTATCCAATTTAGTGTTTCTATCCTAATGAATAAACATCCAGCAACCCTTTCATGCAGGATTCTAAAATAGCACCTCTTTTTATCAAGAATATGCTCTACCTAAAAAGAAGTATTATTTAATAATAAAACTCCATGAGTTCTAAAACTGTTATCATTTCAATTATCTTATTTTAAATATGGAAGAAAAATAGTTCAAATATGCATTATATATTACTCATTTGTAGTTTATCTGAATATACTTTGAAGTTCAGGTTTTGATTTCATAGACCAGATCAGCCAAAGACAGGTTCTTTAGAAAGGCTGGAAAATACCCTGAATTGAGAATTTGCAAAATTAATTTAAGGTTCTAAATAAATCAGTGGGACTCTGTTTGCAAATTTGTAAAGCAAGAGCTGGGTAAGGTGACATGTTGTGGTTCTTCCTACATCAACAATGCTGCAATTTAGACTGAGTCTCTAATGACGTGGATGTGACTCTCAAGGAGAGAATGTGAAGTGAAAAAAATAACCTCATAGGTTTCTGTGATCAGTTCTATGATGCAGCGCCAAAGGACATGTGCTAATGGATAAACATTAAAATGGTAAAACGTAGTGTGTGTAAATCTGCCCTTAATAATGGGATTAAGAGAGTAAAGCAGTCCTCAAGAAGGTATCGAGTATAGGGATATGTGGTTGGTTTACTTGAAGAACATTTCCAAAAGAAGGCAAAGGCTAAGAGTGAAAAGGAAAAAAGATAATTTGTTCATCAAAAGCAATCATATGACACCACAGGGTGAGAAAAATTAAACATGGTAGCTAATTTGCCCTGTGCTATTCTGCTTAGTACATGCTTGCCACTATTTTATATCATGTATTTGATGTCTGACTTGATGCCTGTAGTTGTTTTCAACTTTTTCTTTTTTACTAGAATAGAAATTCTTTTGCTTTACTTACCTTCCTTACACAACCACACACTGGTATTTCTCACAGGGCTGATGATCAAAAAATGTATATATGTTAAATATTATGAGACTCCCAAAAGACCTCGGGTCATTAGTTTAGTAATTATGTGTAAAACCCTTGGGAAAAATGCTTCAAATTATATGAAGCAGAGAATCTAAGTTTTCTCATAGTATAAGACCTCCCCATTGCATCTAGTTATGGACATGGTATAAAAGTGACATTGCAGCTTCCAAGAATATTCTTTAAAAGACAATGCTCTCTTTTCTCCTCATGATTGGAACTAGAGCAGCTTAAACAAGTGAGAGGACCTCAGAAAGAGAGGCCGTGAAAAGTGAACACAAAACAAACAAATAAAAACAAAAAAATCCAGAGAAAACACTTTGGTGCCCGAGAATTTTATGAAAGAAAATTGGATGGACTGTCTTCCTCTAAAGTTTAATAAACCAAAAACACTTTTTTTCTTTTTTAAGTTATTATATCTTTGGGCCTCCAATATGACAGTTATATTTTTCCTAATTGAAGCACCAAGCACACAGAGTATTTAAAATCAAGGCAAATTCGCCAAACCAGAGAGAGTGGCAAACTGTATGAAGTGGCTAAAGAGATATGCAAGGATCAGGTAGATTTTAATGACTGAAAGTTTTGCTAAGCAGTTTGCAACTGTATCTTAGCCTTGGAGAGAACCATTATCAAAATAAGTCAGAGGGAAAACTAATTGAATTGGCAGAGTAAACAGTGTGACTAAGTTAGATAATGTAAATGGAACGACTTTTGGAAAGTTTAATTCTGAAGGCGTTTGAGAGGACAAAATGACGGAGCTGGATTTCCCAAGTAGTCCACCAATGAGAATGTCAGATGACAATATTGGTTAATAAGATAAAGAGCGTGAAAAAGAACATAGAATAGGCAGATAGAGTTGGTTTCACCATGGTCTTGAAATAAAATTTAGGGGACCTTGGAACCATGTCCCATTTCATATTCCCAAAATAGATGAGATAGCAACCAAAGCTGTAGAAGCAAGAAAGTAATAGGTTTGTTTGCAGGGGATGTAATTTTTTTGGAGCAAAGGCAGGATTATATTATGCCCATTCTGAGAAGATTCTGAAAATGTATGGCGACTTTATTTTAACTAATATCAGGTGTATCAGTGAGCAGATTGAGAAGTGCTTGGGGCGGGGAGATTAGATCAGGGAGGAATGAATAGAAGAGAGCAGTAAAAATGAGAAACCAAGGTGTGATCATTTTAGAGCACTCAAGGATTTAAAAAATTTTAATATGGAAAAGTTATCTGAACTCCAAAAATTCCAGCAGGTTAAGGCTTGATTGATTTGACTTCAGAAGGAAGCTGTTAGGAATATGCTGAGATCTCTGGTGGATGGAATGGGGCATTGAATACCACTGGCAATCCCCAACCAGGAAAGAGTTTAGCCTTTCCCTAGGTTAACAGCGATAACTTATTCATCTATATGTTAGCATATTATGCAAACAGTTCAATATGTTTGGGAAGAAATACTGAAAATCCTTTCTCTATGATAAAGTAAGTTATTTAAATTCTCAAATTATGGATTATCCTCAAATAAGTTTTTTTTCAAATTATAATCCTTCATATTTGTTATGTATTAACCTCTATAATGCATATATACTTATTGAAATTTTGTGTTATTCTTTTTTGATACATAAAGGCATGCAGCAAATAGTATTTCTAATATAAAGACCAGTGAGATATGCAGTTCAAATTTCTTAATAATCAATTTTCTTTGTGATAAATTCTGAAATTGTCATTATAGTACAACAGTGGTTATTTTGCAAACTTTTTCTTATTTCCAGAACAGAACATTATTTATATGCTTATTGAATACAAAAAATGTGTTTATGAGGACTCAAGAATTGCATAGGTTCATGAAATGCATTATCACAGATATAGTGTTTGTATGTCAGAATTTCAGTAAAATTTATCTTAATTTTTCAGTCACACATGCACATACACATAGGCAAAAATGATTATTTCCTTTAATATTAATCATAAAATATTTGCGTGAAAATTACTATTCATATAATTTCAATTGCTTACAGAAAATACAAATGAAGAAAAGAACAGGCATCATACTTCTTTATTTATAACTTATACTTACAGAAAAAGAAAAACATGCATGCTACTTTATTTCAGCTTTTTTCTGATTCTATGTTTTTCAGAGGGTAGTAAAACCACCCCCTGGTGAAATAATGATTTCTCATAGAGTAGGAGGTAAAATACTTCTCTAAAGTTTTTATGAAAGAATAGGAGAGTATGATGTCTGCTTAGAGGCCAAAAATAATCCACCATAAATATAGAATAATAACCAGAAATTCGGAGAAGTACAGGCCTGTGATATGAACACACAGCTATCATTCCTTGAAATGACGATAATAACATACAAAGAAGAATTAACCAAAGTTTATACTTGTTACATTTAGGCCTATTCAAAGTTTGATTCCTGAGCCACGTGCCATTTGCCCATGTATAGAGTAAGGTTTATCCTCTCCTAATGTCGCAGCATATTTTGTGAAAGTAGATTATATTTTAAAGAGCATGGTACGTCTTCTCTGACACCCCTTGACCATTGATTCAAACGATACATATAAGAAATTTTAAAAGTCTTCTTAAAAAGATGGCAAGTTACAATTCAGAAAAGTTTTGTGGATACTAATATTGTAAAGTGATAAAGACTAACAGGAAGTCATTTTTTTCCTAGAATAAATTTATATTTTATGGAGTATGATTGTTTTCATTTATTCTTATTTGTTTCATCTTTCATGTTGATCTGGAGTGAACCAAATTAGAAAAGACCATCTGCTCTCTCATTTCCTCCTGGAAAATCAGAAGAAAAAGACAAGCTCTTTTAAACATCTCCTTAGTTACTACTGTCTTCAACATTTCCCCTAATAATGAGTTTATCACTCACATCTTTAAATAATAATTTCATTGAAATGTAACAGATATTTTAATTATATTTATTCTCCTTTATCACATTCTGGCAAAATTGCTATTGATATTTATGATTATAATTGCATATTTATAAATGTAAATTATAATAACTTATATTTAATCTATTTGCAGTCATATTTTAATAATGAAACCAATTTTTAAAATAAAAGATGAGTTTAATTTAAATATTTCTTTGATAATATGTATATGCAATTTATTTTTTTCTAAAATAATAGGATAATTGATTACATTCCTTCCATTTTTGTTGTATCAAAGTATTCCAAATTATTCAAAATTTATCTGAACTTTTATAATTATATCTGCTTAAATGTGTAGGTTTTTATTGTATTCAAAATTAAATTTGTCTGTTTTTTAAGCAACATAATGTGGCAACCACTATAGAATTCAAAGTACATTGGATTATGAATAGTTTTTATAATCTCTGTGAGAGTATGTTCTTTTATTTTTTTTTACATGAAACAAAGTATCTCAAACAAAATAATTTATCTAGCCATTGTATATTAGGTTGAAATAATGTGGTATAAAATGGGTTAGAATAACCAGTATAATCTATTACAACATTTTAGAAAGCTTCTTGGCTTTCTAAACTGGCTATTGTCTTTATTAAATTTAAATATCAAAATCAATATGCAGTGAATGTAATAGAGAAAAAGCCTTCACAGAATAGAAACAAGATATACTCATTTCACATTATTTATTAAAACAAGCTTTTAACTCTTATTTGGTAATAATCTAAATTATGTGTGATATTAACATATTGAACTTTATTTTCATAATGTTAAATAAATGTAAACATTCTAATTGCAAAAAGAAAAAAGGGAGAAATACTCATTTTAAAAAGCTTTTTTTTATTATTATGATACTTTAAGTTCTAGGGTATGTGTGCACAATGAACAGGTTTGTTACATATATATGTGTCATGTTGTGTGTCATGTTGGTGTGCTACGTTGGTGTCATGTTGGTGTGCTGTGTGTCATGTGCCATATTGGTGTGCTGCCCCTGTTAACTCATCATTTACATTAGGTATATCTCCTAATGCTATCCCTCCCCCTCCCCCCACTGCACGACAGGCCCTGGCGTGTGATGTTCCCCACCCTGTGTCCAAATGTTCTCATTGTTCAATTCCCACCTATGAGTGAGAACATGCGGTGTTTGGTTTTCTGTCCTTGTGATAGTTTGCTAAGAATGATGGTTTCCAGCTTCATCCATGTCCCTACAAAGGACACGAACTCATCCTTTTTTATGTCTGCATAGTATTCCATGGTGTATATGTGCCACATTTTTTAAATCCAGTCTATCATCAATGGACATCTGGGTTGGTTCCAAGTCTTTGCTATTGTGAATAGTGCCACAACAAACATATGTGTGCATGTGTCTTTATAACAGCATGATTTATATTCCTTTGGGTATATACCCAGTAATGGGATGGCTGGGTCAAATGGTATTTCTAGTTCCAGATCCCTGAGGAATCGCCACACTGACTTCCACAATGGTTGAACCAGTTTACAGTCCCACCAACAGTGTAAAAGTGTTCCTATTTCTCCACATCCTCTCCAGCACCTGCTGTTTCCTGACTTTTAAATGATCGCCATTCTAACTGGTATGGGATGGTATCTCATTGCGGTTTTCATTTGCATTTCTCTGATGTCCAGTGATGATAAGCATTTTTTCATGTGTCTGTTGCTGCATAAAGGTCTTCTTTTGAGAAATGTCTGTTCGTATCCTTTGCCCACTTTTTGACGGGGTTGTTTGATTTTTTCTTGTAAATTTGTTTAAGTTCTTTGTAGATTCTGGATATTAGCCCTTTGTCAGATGGTAGATTGTAAAAATTTTCTCCCATTCTGTAGGTTGCCTTTTCACTCTGATGGTAGTTTCTTTTGCTGTGCAGAAGCTCTTTAGTTTAATTAGATCCCATTTGCCAATGTTGGCTTTTGTTACCATTGCTTTTGGTGTTTTAGTCATGAAGTCCTTGACCATGCCTATGTCCTGAATGGTATTGCCTAGGTTTTCTTCCAGTGTTTTTATGGTTTTGGGTTTAACATTTAAGTCTTTAATCCATCTTGAATTAATTTTTGTATAAGGTGTAAGGAAGTGATCCAGTTTCAGCTTTCTACATATGGCTAGCCAGTTTTCCCAGCACCATTTATTAAATAGGGAATCCTTTCCCCTTTCTTGTTTTTGTCAGGTTTGTCAAAGATCAAATGGTTGTAGTTATATGGTATTATTTCTGAGGGCTCTGTTCTGTTCCTGTTTATATCACTGTTTTGGTACCAGTAGAATGCTATTTTGGTTACTGTAACCCTGTAGTATAGTTTGAAGTCAGGTAGTGTGATGCCTCCATCTTTGTTCTTTTTGCTTAATATTGTCTTGGCGATGTGGGCTCTTTTTTGGTTCCATATGAACTTTAAAGTAGTTTTTTTTTTCCAATTCTGCAAAGAAAGTCATTGGTAGCTTGATGGGGATGGCATTGAATCTACAAATTACCTTGGGCAGTAGGGCCATTTTCACGATATTGATTATTCCTATCCATGAGCAAGGAATGTTCTTCCATTTGTTTGTGTCCTCTTTTATTTCGTTAAGCAGTGGTTTGTAGTTCTCCTTGAAGAGGTCCTTCACATCCCTTGTAAGTTGGATTCCTAGGTATTTTATTCTCTTTGAAGCAATTGTGAATGGGAGTTCACTCATGATTTGGCTCTCTGTTTGTCTGTTATTGGTGTACAAGAATGCTTGTGCTTTTTGCACATTGATTTTGTATCCTGAAACTTTGCTGAAGTTGCTTATCAGCTTAAGGAGATTTTGGGCTGAGACGATGGGGTTTTCTAAATATACAATCATGTCATCTGCAAACAGGGACAATTTGACTTCCTCTTTTCCTAATTGAATACCCTTTATTTATTTCTCCTGCCTGATTGCCCTGGCCAGAACTTCCAACACTATGTTGAATAGGAGTGGTGACAGAGGGCATCCCTGTCTTGTGCCAGTTTTCAAATGGAATGTTTCCAGTTTTTGCCTATTCAGTATGATATTGGCTGTGGGTTTGTCATAAGCAGCTCTTATTATTTTGAGATACGTCCCATCAATACCTAATTTATTGAGCTTTTATTGTGAAGGGCTGTTGAATTTTGTCGAAGGCCTTTTCTGCATCTATTGAGGAAATCATGTGATTTTTGTCTTTGTTTTTGTTTATGTGATGGACTACGCTTATTGATTTGTGTATGTTGAAACAGCCTTGCATCCCCAGGTGCAGAAACACACATAGGCTCAAAATAAAGGGATGGAGGAAGATCTACCGAGCAAATGGAAAACAAAAAAGCAGGAGTTTCAATCCTAGTCTCTGATAAAACAGACTTTAAACCAACAAAAATCAAAAGGCACAAAGAAGGCCATTACATAATGGTAAAGGGATCAATTCAACAAGAAGAGCTAACTATCCTAAATATATATACACCCAATACAGGAGCACCCAGATTCATAAACAAGTCCTTAGAGACCTACAAAGAGACTTAGACTCCCACACAATAATAATGGCAGACTTTAACACCCCACTGTCAACATTAGACAGATCAATGAGACAGAAAGTTAACAAGGATATCCAGGAATTAAACTCAGCTCTGCACCAAGCAGACCTAATAGACATCTATAGAACTCTCCCCCTCAAATCAACAGAATATACATTCTTCTCAGCACCACCTTGCACTTATTCCAAAATTGACCACATATTTGGAAGTAAAGCACTCCTCAGCAAATGTAAAAGAACAGAAACTATAACAAACTGTCTCTTAGACCACAGTGCAATCAAACTAGAACTCAGGATTAAGAAACTCACTCAAAACTGTTCAACTACATGGAAACTGAACAATCTGCTCCTGAATGACTACTGGGTACATAACAAAATGAAGGCAGAAATAAAGATGTTCTTTGAAACCAATGAGAACAAAGATACAACGTACCAGAATCTCTGGGACACATTTAAAGCAGTGTGTAGAGGGAAATTTATAGCACTAAATGCCCACAGGAGAAAGCAGGAAAGATCTAAAATTGACACTTTAACATCACAAATAAAAGAACTAGAGAAGCAAGAGCAAATAATCTCAAAAGCTAAGAGAAGGCAATTAGCTAATAATTCCAAATTTCTTCTTAAAAATCATATCTTAAAATAATGATGCTTGCAAAGTATTATTAAAATATCTTAGGAAAATCTAAACAGCATTAAATGAAACAAACATGTCCACTGAAAAGAATATACTGCAGTCACACTAAGTGTATTAGGGATATCCAGAGAAAAAGAACCAATAGGAGACGATAGATAGATGGATAGATAGTTAGATAGATAGATGATAGCTGGTAGATAGAGAGATATATTTAAGGAGGTTTTTAATGGAAAATGGCTCACATGGTTATGGAAGCCAAGAAGTGTCATGATGTGCCATGAGCACAACTGAAGAACCAGAAAAGCCAGTGATGTAGCTGGAAGACCTGAGGATTAGGGGCTTGGGTTGTGAATCCTGGTTTCATTCCAAATGCCCAAGAACCAAGGGCACCTATGGTTGAGAGCCAAGAAAAATGGATGTCTCAGCTCAAACAGAGAGAGTAGTAAATTGGTCATTCGTCTGTCTTTTTTTTTTCTTTTTTGTGTTTGAGCCCTCAAAGGATGGGATAAAGCCCACCCACAATAGTGAGGGATCTTTTTTACTTGATCTACTGATTCAATTGCTAATCTCCTATAGAAACACCTTGACAGAAAGATCCAGAAAAAAAACTGTCAGCTATCTGGGCATCCCTTAACCCAGTCAAGTTGATTTATAAAAATTAACCATCATGCCATGGAAGAAGGATAAGCCCATCAACCCAAATTTGATTTGGATGTCAAGACAGATGATGACACACAGCACCAAGAGGATATGAAGATGACTTTTATTCATGTAATGGTGCTATCTGTGGAAAGCAGAGAAAGCTCCCAAGCAGGTTCAAACATGGCTTGGGAGACAAAGTGAGAGTAAGTGAGATTTTATGGTGATTTTGGATAGAGATGGGAGCTTACACGATTTCCATGATTTGTACTTCCCACCTATGCCAAATGAGGGAGCACCTGGGCTTTCTTATTGACTAGCCCAGGAATGGAGCAAGAGGGAAAGAAGGAGGGATGGGGCTTGAAATCTGTCAGAAAACATAAAAAGTGGAGCCTGCTGATTTATTACAAAAAAAAATTGCACTGTTAACATATAATATATGAAAATAAGATTAAAACTAAAGTTTGATGGATATTTTAGACATAATCTGCAATGCTTTATCACTTCTTAAATATGCATGTTATTCTTTTTGGAATACTTAACTCAGAATGTAAGTGGGTTTTTTTAAAAAAATTAACATATTTTTCTCCTCTAGTGTAACCTTGGGTATAAAATACACTTTCATTATTAACTATAACTTACTCTGCTTGTAGTTTGCAAAAGGGATGGTGAACTATAGTAACAGAAAGGTATCAGATTTTTTTTGAAGGTGGTGGGGTATAAAATACACTGTCATTATTAACTATAACGTACTCTGCTTGTAATTTGCAAAAGCGATGGTGTACTATAGTAACAGAAAAATAACAGATTTTTTTTGAGGTAAGTTAGGTACATGTTTTCATATGTATTCTGGGGGAGTCAGAAGAATGGCCACTATGCTCTTTAAAGGATACTCTTCTCTCACAAAATATGCTGCTACATTAAGAGAGAACAAACCTTACCCTCTGGAGAGTCCACTTAAATTTTAAGTTGCAGCCTATAAAATGTTTGTCCCTCTAAGGATGCCTCCTTTGCTAATAATTTTTAGAGTTTTTTCTTTTTGCTTATCATTATTAACGTCATGGTCACTGATACATTTTTAATGCATGCCCTAAAAAAGGACTATAATGTTTTCAATAGAGGAATGTTACGTTGCCCCCTCCCTTCTGAACACAATTCTTATTTTTTCTGAAACTCTCGAAGGCAAACTGTGAGTCTGTAAGTGGGGCACAGCATTAAAAGCTGAAATGATGGGGTACTATTTAATGCTCATTTTCCTTTTCTTGGATTGTATAGGGCTTTGCTATGGCTAGACATATCTATCTACAAGTATAGACTGACATTGAAGGACCACTGATAAAATAAACTAGCACTTGCAGATCCATCCAATGTCTGAATGACTTGTTAAAATTATCTTGCTTTCCTGACTTTGGTTTCTGATGCTTGAAAACCACGTGCAGTAACTTTCATGCTTACTCAATATGCATGTTGCTGCCACCTTATTATTTCTAAAACTATGAAGTGCAAAATCCTTATGAGATTAAAGCCCCTTGCATGGGTCATTGCCACACCTACACCTGGTCTCTGCTCCTCACTCCTCTCAAAGCTTGTCCTGCTTCAAACAGTTCCCTAGCTACTCTGCCCAAGGGATAGAGAAATGGCTTTCTTTTTTCTCTGCTCTTTGCTGCCCTCACCTGACTGAGACTGTCCTATTAAACATTTTTGAAAAGAGTATGGTTGGGTCAAGGCGTATATGTCCTAAAAACTTTAAACTTCCTTTATTTTTAATAATTACAGAGAGAAACAGACATAGAATAAGAAAAGGCAGAAAAACATAAATAAATACTAAACATAAATTACCACTATAAGATGCTGATCAAATCATATCTAAGAGAATAACTCTGCCCTGTTTAGTGCTGATCCTGAGACCTTGGTTTTGTAATTTCAAAAATTGTGCCCATAGGATTTGTTACTTTCAAGTATATTTTGGTGCATGTTGTTCTGCGTTGTCTTTATTGGTGTTTTGGAAGTTCAGTTAATTATTTTAAATAGTTCATCTTGTGAAAAGGAAAAAAAAACTAATAATCTCAATACCCAAAGATGATATTTATTTACATTTTTCATGGTATTCCCTTTAGTCATAAACATACAAATATTTACATACATATATATAACATGACATCTAAAATATGAAATTATATTAAAATGCCATATATTACATATAAAACGATATGCACATGCATATCTGTATGTTATAATGTTACATATTTCAAAAATGAGGAGACTTTGAAATTATATTTTCAACATTGTGTCTGTGTTCAGGCCATTTTTATGTTGCACATGTTTAGATTCAAATCATCAATTATTCAAACTTGCACAGAAATGCATGACTTAATCTAGATAGCTAGAATTTCACAGTCTTGTTTTATCTACACTGAATGTTACAGACACATAGGTTGGGGAATTACTAGAATCTGAATATCACATATCTTTCTTAATTAAAAGACTTGCTATTTCTCTGAAGGAGAATGGAAACAATATGGGTCCTAGTAGATCTCCATAGAAGAGTGCCAATTAGCCCTTTGACAAAGTTGCTAGGTGCTTCCATGACTAATTTCCATAACTGTTTGAGTGCAGATGAAAATAGTTCTAATATGGCTCAATAGTTGAATATTACAGTTATAAATTCATATAAAACATATTTCATAATATAAACATGGTTAACATTTTGTAATTTTTTTGTACTCAAAAAAGTATAAGTCATCATTTTACTTTCATTAAGTCCCTATTATATTTGAACCGGAACGTGAAAAATACCCACTTTTAAACTAGTCTAAGATAAAAATGAACACCGGAGTCTTTTGTGCTTTTTAATTTTACAGGGAGATTCTGCGCCATAATTTATCCATCTTATTTCCACACAGATCATGGCTTTATACCACTTGTTTCAACAAAATGTGTCTGGAGTTCACAGTGTTGGCAAATGCACCCATTCAGGTGGTTGTGTTACCCAAGTGTAAAATCCTCAGTCTGTGTAAAATAAGAAAACACATTATGACATATTTTACTGCCCAGGATTAGTCTGAAGGTGCCAATGTGTTATTAGCCGAGAATGATGCATGCCAAAAACGACAAAAGTCCAATTGTCAAGGCAAGCACCTGCATCTGTTCACCTGAAGCAATGATTCCTACCTCTCCAATTATTCACAGAAACTTGACTAAGTTCCACTTTACACACTGAAAACTATCCCTGGCCTCCATCTCTCCCCTTGAGCAGACAGTGCCTAGTATGGCACAGGTACCTTAAATTTAACCCAAATGACACTAAATGTCTGCTTTTCCGGTCATACATGATTTAAGGAGGGTGAGAGATCTGATGAGAAAGAAGCAAAACCAGAAAACGTCATTAACTTTTTGCAAAATCCTCCAGGCTTCAATTGGTTCCCAATTTGTTCTCTATTATAAAAAGGTAAAATCTTAAAATGAAACAACAGAAAAAACAAGCATGACTTGCATTGACTACAAGTTAGTGCCTTGATCGTCTCTCCTCTCCATCCGCAATCTGTCCAGCAAAAAAAAAGTAGAGATGGACACAAAGCAGCCTGAGATATGATTGCAATTGTAATTTTTCTGCCTATATCTGCAAAGATTGTCAATTCTTTTAGGACTCAATAGCCACCTTTGGCATGGTAATGTGTACTAATTCATGCTGTTTTAATAGAGAAAGAATACTTCTCTACTAAGGCATTTTTTAATCTACAGCTTAGGACAATTCCATTCCACTTCAATGGAGGAGAGGAATACTTAAAATATAACTCCCTGTTCAAGGAGAAGATATGTGAGGAAAACTTCTTGCTCTCAATTTATTTTTTTAAAACTTTCTAACAAATTTTCAATTAATCTGGTCACCAAGCAACTGATTATATACACCTTCATTAGGAAACTGTTATTCAGAGATAAAGTGGTTTTGTTAATGTTATACAATTTGATAGTAGTCTAGATAGCTCCACCACCCAACTTATCGACATTAGCCCTGCTCTCTTTAGTACAACATGCATCTTACAAGCAAGAGAATGTCTGCTTCATATAAGTAAACTATCTTTAAATATCTGTTACTTATATACACTTTAAAGTTACTAGTTTTATCTAAGGTGAAGCACATACATCTTGCTGAAGGTCTTTTTAACAGATTTATTAGTTTCATATTAATGATTCATTAATTTGTGAACTATAGATTTAAAACATTACCATCAAAGCTAAAAGGAAAAATATATAAACATAATGATAAAAAATTAACATTAAAAATGGATGAAAGATAGATTTATAATACATTAATAAACTATTTTTAAATACAAAAATGAAATTAGTATTAAATGCTCCAGGAAAAGGTAACTGATGTTTTCCAGTCAGTTTAAAAAATGTTATCATATCTCCTAAAATTCTTTCTTTTAGCATTTGAAGTAATGTTTTAAAAAATGCTTAATCCAACTCTCTATATCTGTCAATTAGCATGGAAATTAAAGAACAAAGAGGAGTTCTTAGATCATAACAGTCACCAATTGATTCTCTTTCAAACTGAGAAAAAATATGTTCTCAGTAAAATCACTTTTACTCTGTTTAAAACCTTGTTAAATTTTCTTTTAAGTATTGATCAAATTGTTTGCTTTAGAAGAGATACAGGCCCTTTGAGAAAATGATTTCTCAGATAGGCTCAGAATTTTGTCTCTCAAACCTGTTCTTCTGAAATAGACTGAGAAAATTCTCATTGATAATGAAACAATTAAATTCAAATTTCAGTTCTCAATAGACCTGGCTGGGGGAGATCAAAAGAAGGAGAGAAGCTTGGGTTAAGTTACTAAAGTTGCTGTGAAACTTTCTTCATGCTGGTAGAAATGAAACAGAACAAAACAGAAAGCCATGGGATTTCATGCACAGCTATTCTGTAATTCCTCTCACCATTTTTTAAATGATTGCTGTTTGTTAGAAAAAGATGCAATGTAGAAAAATGCAATTTCAAGAGATATAGAATGAAAATTCCTCCTATGAGAAGGAATTTTAAAAATCACTTATGGAAAAAAAAGCTGTTGTAATTGGAAAACCACTATCTTCTCTATTGTTGCATAAAAACACATATGCAAAACTTAAGAGTAAAACAATAGGAATTTACTATTTCTCGCAAACATTTGTGCTGGCTATGCCATTGAGGGGGTGTTTCCTGAGCTCACTGATGTGGCTGGCTCAACTGGCTTGTTGGTTGGAAGCTGGCCCAGCAGGGAAGGCTGATACTGCTTTCCCCACCTTTTTTGTGTATGTATATTTTTATTTTGCACTGGGCTCCAGAAATTATGCAGCTGGCCCTACAGCCAGGGAAGAACACAGAAGCTAATTTAGGTATGAAGTGATGGTAGGTCTGAACAGAATGGTGGCAGAAGAAGTAGTGCAAAGTGATTTGAATTCTAAATACAGTTATCCACCACATAGTGACATTTTGATCAATGACAGACCGCATATATATGATGGTCCCATAAGATTACAGTATCATATTTTTCCTATAGGTTTTCTATGTTTAGATTTGTTTAGATACACACATGCCCTTGTGTTAGAATTAGTTATGGTATTTAAAACAGTAACATTCTGTATAGGTTTGTAGCTTAGGAGCAATAAGGTATTGCACATTGCCTAGGTAGGTAGTAGGTGATACTATCAGGATTTGTGTAAGTAAACCCTATGGTGTTTGTGCAACAGCAAAATCATATCACTGTGAATTTCTCAGAGTTTATCCCTGTCATCAAGCAATGCATGACTGCATATCTGGACTATCTGGTCATGAGGAACTTATGATGAAATATATGTAGAATACGAAAGAAAATGAGAAGACTTCAGTTTCAAGGTCTGTTGCTCTTCAGATTTACTTTTGTCCTCAAGATAAATGATCTACATGTAGAAATTCAAAGAAACCATACATTTAGTATCATAGCCAAAGTTCATTAAAACTATCGATAACTAAGACAATCACACCAGCAATGTGACTACTTGTTAGTTACTTGGTCTTTCCATACCTCATCATTGAATGTGTAATATGATGTTCTGTTGTAATATTTAAATAAGTTATTTATCTGGCACAGCACTCAAAACATAAAAATTATTATTCTGTATTCTTACCTTACTCCAGTGCAGGAGCAACATTAAGGTTCTTTCCACTCACAATCATCACCTCTTTTGTGCACTCTTTCTCAGGAATACAAACTGTTTTGTTTTTTTTCCCCCAAATCCCTTCTACACTAGCATTTGTCTTAACCATGCCATTTAACCTTGTATTATTCTAATGGGAAGAAATATCAACCAGTGTTCAATATATATTATTTATTCAGCACTAGTCTAGTTGTGGAGATAGGGAGTAATACTTGAAGTTTCCAAGTATAATATCTACTGATTTCTCACTTTCCAAATTCAGTTCCCTGAAAAAATGAACTGTTTATGTCAAAATGCACATACTTTCCTTCTAGTAACCTATGTTTATTTTATTTCATGCCTTGTTCCACCTTCACTGAATGTGGAATCTCCTCTCTGTAATGTGTCCTCTCACTGGTATTTTAATTCCTGATAACCTATATAACTGGACTAAAACCCCTTCCTTTCCTTAGTCCCTCAGACATAGAAGATTAGGATTTTAAAAATGGCCTTGAATTACTATACTCTTAAAGAATAAATATTTTTCCCCAAAGAAGAAAAACAATTTGTTCAGAATTTTTTTTGTCATTAAATTTTATTTGACAGTGTTGAAGAAACTTCATACTTCGTTTTTAATTATAGTAGAACTACTGGGTATTTAATAAATAATTCCTCCATAATTATCTCTAAGATTGTTCCAAATAGGATCAAATGATATCATTACTGATTTTTTTCTTTTATTTAAAATGTTTAATCCTAATTTGGCCATTGTCTAACTCTTGAAATGAGGCAGAGGACCCATAGAGATGAGAATAAAAGGGAATGTTCACCCATTTTGGAGGGATGCTTCTGCAATCATGAAATAATTCATTATGGAATCTGACCAAGACTGCCTTAAGTTTTTGCTTCAGCTTGACTGAAGTTTAAACAGCTTTCTTCCTAACTATAGGCCCCTGACATTCCTTTTTTTTAGGGCATTTACTTTAGAAAACTTGACATTGTAAATTCTTTCTCCGCCTTTGAGATGTAAATCTTCTCCCAGCCTCTGGCCAGTTTCACAACCCAAAAAAATGTTTTTCTCAGGAACCTGGAAGCCAACCCGTTGAAATGGAATCATTTAAAAAGATAATTCCTCTGTCTCACAGTCTCTGTGGAAGGCTAGGCTTCTAACTATGATGGGCACCAATTAGTAAACACAGATGGCATAATCACATTGACCAGCCTCCTCACTAACATTCTCCACTATTTTCCCACGTGCTCACTACACCTTTTGTTTCAATAGAACTAAGTTATCTTGATGCTTATTTCAATAGTTTACAATAAAGTCTTCCCTATCTGTTTAACTTCCCCATACAATTTTTCTTTAACACAGCTCAAGAACTATCTAACCAAGATTAGACAAGAATGAAAAGACATACAGTGTCAGGAACCTGCTGGGGCATCTTTAGGCAATAGGCAAAACAGCCTTACTGAAAACTATTGGAAACAAGTCACATTAGCATTGCGATTGATAAGGAAAAGTCATAGCATTGGGAAAAGGCTTAGATGTCTTGGGAATTAAACAAAAGTATAGAAAATAATGCAAATAAAATGATGTTTATCACTCAATAATTCATGCTCAATTGTGTGACATTTGAAACTTCGAAAAGACTTTAAGAGGAATCTGAAAATGATGTGAAAGATTATCAGTCCCTTCTTGGCCAGTTTCCCAAGAAATAACAAAAAAATTTAATCTCTTTTCTATAAAGAATTTTAAGTCCTTATAGATTGAAAAAAGTCGCAAAGACACAAGAATGAAAGCTCATGATGCCAGGGCCATATCAGTCCTAAAAAAAAAAAAAAAAAAAAAAAAAAAAGGAATTGAATTGAATTAATGAAGATGCACTAAAAGAAATAGGGGAGGAGATAGGAGTCACAATGGCTAGACCGGATAGTGTATATTTAATTTACTTAATTTAAATTTACTTAATTTAAGAGGTTAATATTGGGATGACCTGGACAAATTTGAAGAGAAATACTTTGCTTTAATAGCTTTATTTCAAATTTTTAAATATTTGTGAAATAAAATATACATGTCAAAAAGTACCCAATATTTACATAAATATATATTTTAATAAATGGATGTAGAGGAAATACCTATTAGTCACTACTGTATGTATTTTCAATGTTGCCGACAATATTTAATATATTCTACCCCACTTTTAAGGAAATGAGTGATTTTTAAGTACCTAATAAACTGTAAGTTTACATCAAATGATACACTTTGGTGTATTAAAAGATAATAGAGTAATGGATTGACATAAAAAATCCAAATCAGTTAAATAAATACATTTGTGTCAATTCATCTGACACATTTTTCATTGAAACAACTGCCTGAAGTATGCCCCTTTTAAGGGAATAAGCTTTATCAGGTAGCATTTTTGCTAAAAGGCTACATGTTTTAATATATCATACTTTAGCATTCAAATGAATATAACTAAATTTATCAGACATTTCTTTCTAGTTTCGGGTAGCTCTAGAAAAGTTTATTACCTGCAAATTAACTGGAAACTTTTAAATATTATCAAAAGACTGACTTGTGTTGAGTACACTAACATTATGAAAGGTATGTTGCACTCACGTAATATTTCTTAATATAATCTGTATTTCATTAAATATAAAGAAGGAGAGAAATGTAAAGATGCACTGAATTAAGTCTTTAAAATAGCCAGAAATACACTATATTTAAAAATATTTGCACAATAGTTCATGAGCATAGTATAGCTTCAAGATACCGAGATACTGCCAACATTCTTTGTATTATGTATAATTGTCAAACATTAAATTTGTACAGTTATGTAAATTTGATTATGTACAATTGTCAAACATTTAAAAATTAGGTGATTTGTACCTGTCAAATAAAGGAACCACTTTCGCTGCCACATCAGTAAGATCAACACATTGAACCAGATCTTGGTTCAATGAACCATCTATGCTTTCCTGCATAGATGTGTTCTAGTAATGCCTTTATAGTATATTTAAAACATTTAATATTTCCTCTACCCCTATGTCTCCTAGATGTAACCAAATTAAAAACATCTCTGGCAGTTGTTAGAGGACTGTCCTAATGAAAGGTCATTTTTTCCAAGTTGTATATGTCAGGCCTCTGAGCCCAAGCCAAGCCATCGCATCCCCTGTGACTTGCATGTATATGCCCAGGTGGCCGGAAGTAACTGAAAAATCACAAAAGAAGTGAAAATGCCCTGCCCCGCCTTAACTGATGACATTCCACCACAAAAGAAGTGAATATGGCCGGTCCTTGCCTCAACTGATGACATTCCACCACAAAAGAAGTGAAAATGGCCGGTCCTTGTCTTAAGTGATGACATTATCTTATGAAAGTCCTTTTCCTGGCTCATCCTGGCTCAAAAACTCCCCCACTGAGCACCTAGCCACCCCCACCCCTGCCCACCAGAGAACAAATCCCCTTTGACTGTAATTTTCCTTTATCTACCCAAATCCTATAAAACGGCCCCACCCTTATCGCCTGCACCCAGGTGATTAAAAGCTTTATTGCTCACACAAAGCCTGTTTGGTGGTCTCTTCACACGGACGTACATGAAAGTATATATTTTTTTCTGATCTCATTAATACTTTTAAATAAGGCATATAATTCAGATAGTTAAAGAGGAATTAGTCCTATAACTCCCATGGTGACATTAGAAATGACATTTACACATCTATTTCCCATGAATCGAATGGAAAGTATAACGTATATATCAAGAGATTACATATTTAATGAACATGCACCTACTATAGAGAACATCCTAATAAGCTTTAGTGTGGGCACTCCCCTTCTTAGGGGAATATGAAGGAGGAAAGTCCCCTTAGCAACCTGACGCATGCATTCTGCGCAAGGATTCCCCATGACTCCTGGGGCTTTTGTGGAAAACACTCCTTGGGGAAAACAGAGGAATCAGCACCATATATCAAAGATGAAAACAATTCAAACTGTTTTCTAGCAGCAGTTTAAAAAAAAAAAAAATGCTTGCTTGTTTCATATGCTTTATCTGACCACATTTAAGGTCTCTGAATCATTGCTAATAGTATATAATAATTCCTAAATCTAGAAATCATACTGAATGCTCCCTGACTTTTGTTTGATATATCTGGTGAAGTTGGTTTGAGTTTCTACAAATGTTAATGTGACCAAGGGCCTCTGAAAACATATGAAATTATTGTTTTGATATTATCAAAATTATCACCTGCATACTGTGCATAGATTAAGGAAACATACTATAAAGGAGGCACCGAATTGTTACGGCCCATATATTTCATTTCTGCCTGTGTAAAAAGTGTCTTTTGCTGGAAAATCTGTTACAGTATAATGCATAACTGTGAAGGCAAAGGAGTACTGAGATACATTTATTTCTACACCACTGAAGTGGAACCATCATAAGAAAGCTAGGGGTCTTAACCTCACATGCAGTATAAATGATAAATGTGCCATAATGCTTCCTTCTCATGTTTCCAGTGTCCCATGGCTTTGAGATATATATATAGGGTTATAGGACCCATATCTTAAGATTACTGACAAGACTTCTGGTATGGTACTTTCATATTTTATGACTTATTGAACTATGATTTTAAATTTGTTCAGCATATCGACATGTTAAGTGAAGAGACCATAATTATTTTTCTTTACACTTCACTGAGTTGTGTATCATTTCAGAATAACATCACGTACACAGGCATGACAAGAGTTCTGGCTTTAAATCTGCATTCATCAGAGAAAACAAAACAATTAAAATAATTATTCCCCCAGTGCCTTAAAACTAAGGAGATGATTAAAAATAGCTGTTTGTGAACAAGTGAATATGGGGGAATCTGTTTACTGCATATAGCGAACCTTAAAGGAAGTCCTGCATGCTGTGTGCCTGAAGAGATGTGTTAGAAGGACTCATATTCAGTCTAGATTAGCAAATAAAAACTTTTATGAAAAGAGGTTAAAGAACTTATGTGTCCAGGTGTGCTAATTTAGGATTATTACAGAGTTCAAAACACTTAGTTGATTTTTTTTACTCATCCTGAATGTTTCGGTGGTTTTTTTTAATGCACAGTCCATAAAAAACACTATAACTGCTTATGATGCTACCAGACAACCTACATTTCTACTGGTTGCCATATACTTCCACATATGTACAACTGCATATGTATGAATGTAACCTATGAAATTCCTCTTGAATTTTGGTCTCAGTATCCAAAATGTGATATCTTTATCCTTGGAGATACAATTCATTGAGAAAAAACTATCAGAACTTTTAGTATAATTCTAATCTAGAAAATATACAGATTGCCTATGGGATTCTTACTTAATCTGAGTGTAATTGGAATTATATTATCTAATGTTAACTTAGTTAACTATTATAATTTTATCCAAAGGTATTAATAGGCTTCTGGAAAGTAAACAAAACCCAAATATAACGAAGTATTGTAAATACAAAGAAGGGTACAATGAACAAATTAGCAAACTGAACATTCTACTGCCCCTAAGGTCCTGATCTAAAGCCTTATATTAGTTATACTCCCAATTCTTAGTCCTTTAATACCTGTTTTTCTCCTTCTCTTATTCGGGCCTTGTGTCTTCCATTTAGTTTCTCAATTCATACAAAACCACATCCAGGCCATCACTAATCATTCTACATGGCAAATGTTCCTTCTAACAACCCCACAATATCACCTTTATCCCAAAATCTTTCTTCAGTTTAATCTCTCCCACTCTAGGTTTCCATGCTGCCCCTAATCCCTCTCGAAGCAGCCCTGAGAAACATTGCCCATTATCTCTCCATACTACCCCAAAAAATTTTCACTGCCCCAAAACTTCATCACTCTTTTATTTTGTTTTTCTTATTAATATAAGAAGACAGGAATGTCAGGCATCTGAGCGGAAGCTAAGCCATCATATCCCCTGTGACGTGCACGTATACATACAGATGCCTGAAGCAACTGAAGAACCACAAAAGAAGTGAAAATAGCCAATCCCTGCCTTAACTGATGACATTCCACCATTGCGATTTGCTCCTGCCCCACCCTAACTGATCAATTGAATTTGTGACATTCCTTCTCCTGGACAATGAGTCTCAGGAGCTCCCCACTGAGGACCTTGTGACCCCCACCCCTGTGAGCAAGAGAAAACCCCCTTTAACTGTAATTGTCCACTACCTACCCAAATGCTATAAAACTGCCCCACCCCATCTCCCTTTGCTGACTCCTTTTTCAGACTCAGTCCACCTGCACCGAGGTGATTAAAAAGTTTTACTGCTCAAAAAAAAAAGTAGAAATGATGATCTATGAACCATGTTTGACAAGAACTCAGGCAAAACATCTACAAATATTATTATTTGAAATGTGCAATCATGTCTGTTTTCACTAAGGATAAAACTCACCTTAAGTATTTTGTATGCTTTTCGTTCATGCAAAGACAACTTCCAAATTTGCTGACCTTCTTTATGATGAGTGCCTCTCATTCATATTTTTTCTAGTGAATTTTAAAGACACAATTATTCTGTTCCTTTAACATAAAATGATATTTTAAAACATAAGTGAAATAATACCTTAAGGGAGAAACTAGTTTTCTTTTTACCCTGTGTTATTTAGAGTCTATTTGAGCACATTTTCATTGGAATACTATTTTGTTGCCACAGACAATAAAGTGTGTTACATACTGTTGTGGGTTGCTGAATTCTGTCCCTCAAAAGTTACTAACATCTTAACCTGCAGTACCTGTGAATGTGATCTGATCTGGAAATAAGATTTTTGCAGATGATTAGGGTAATTTGACGTTATTAGAGTTGGCTGTAATCCAATATGAGCATGTATTTATAAAAAGGTACACTTTGGACAAGATACTGATACACACAGGGAGAAGATGATGTGAAGACAGGGAGAACACCATCTACAAGCCAAGGAATGCCTGAAAGTACCAGAAGCTAGGAGAGGCATGGAAGAGATGCTCCCCTGCAGCTCCCAGAAGGCAACAACACTGACAACATTTTAATTTTGGATTCCTACCCTCCAGAACTGTGAGACAGTACATTTCTGTTAAGTTATCCAGTTTGTGGTACTTTGTTACTGCAGCCCTAGAAAACTAATACTCATAAAACCTCACACATGGATACGTTATTTAAAAGCATGGAGGCAACATAGCTAAGTTATTTAGTTTTTTGAAATATTTTTGATGGATTTTGAGATCATTTGCTTAACATGTATGAAACATAATGCGAAACATAATGCTTTTAGACTGGTGTGCAGGAATAATTTACAGTATCAGAAAAGACAGATATTGAGTAGTTCAATTATAGTAAGTAATTTGCATGGGATTACAAGATGAGAATCTTATTTCTTTAAGTGCAGACATGATCTAGTTTTCTTATGTGGACTTACATATTACTATGAGATAGCTTTTTGTCCAAGGAAAACAAATATGATCAAAAGTTAAAATAATTTCAAATTAGCATCTTTGATTCTCTGAATCACAAAAGATGAAATTACAACTCAAAAGTTCTTACTACTACTACTAAGTCTTCTAAGTGCTTTTAAAATTCATTTAATCATTTAAATATTTCTATGAGGTTGGTAACATTATTATTGCCATTTCATAAAAAGGGATTCAGATACAGACAGCATTGTAACACAGGAAGTACATACAGCAAGGAAGTGGAATTCCTACCCAGGCACTTGGGCCTGGCCCAGTGTCTCTGCTCTCTATCATGAAACTGTTCAGCCTATCGGTAGACTAATGTATTTAGTTAATTAATTACGTATAAAAACCATTAATAAATATCATAAATTATTTACATTAAATCTTTCTCTCAAACTTTTAGTTTTTATTTTGTGTGTTATAATGTACATACTACTCCAGAATAGAAGTATATGTAAATAACCTACATTTCGGAAGTTAGATTGTAAACCATCTAAACCACCTGTGGCTGGTAAAGGGAAACCTATCAGAGCCTTTTAGTTCACAACACATTTTTCCTCTTTTTGTTTTTTACTTTTCTTTCCTAATCTTCTACGTTTCTATTTCTATTATATTCTTCTCACTATCTAAGGGGAAATATGCATTTATATAATACAGTTTAATATATTTGTTATAATAATACACAAATATCTGTATAAATGCATAAAATACAAATATATATTTGTATCATATGTATTATATAAAACAGTTTAATATATTGAAATAAAATTTAATTAAGGTGTAATTTTATTTTTAAAGAAATCAAATGCTTGAAGAGCCAGTGATATGTAATGTTTTCACAGTAACATATATAAAGAGAATATTTGTTTAAGTTCCTTTCTTTATTGCGGTGTTTCAAAACCAGGCTAAGTAGTCATGTCTATTCCTCATACTCACTGAAATAGTTTTTCTATTATAAGGCATGAAATTTTATTTTAATTCATAGCTTTATTTATGTACACATTTCACTATACAAAATGCTCTACCTTCATGCTAAAACATGTTCTGTTAAGTAGTGCTCAGATAGTTAAGAATATATTACAGTAAAACAATATTTACTAAATATGTAGAAAAAAGAAAATGTTTTTAAAGCTTCATTTTTTATTTCTATTATTTTGATGTAGAGAAGAAGCAAAGAAGAGGTCCATTGTATATAACCAGAAAGCCTCTACTATTATTATAATAAATAGCTTTTTTACAATAGATTTTAAAATATTTATATTATTATTTTTATATGCTCTAGAATTACCATTTTTATATAACTTAGTAACTTTATTAGAAAATAAGTACTAATTACTTTCATAGAAAAGTGATAGAAATTCTAAAATAATTTTTACATTGTATTTTTCTTTTAGCTTTCTTCTTTCTTGCTCAATCTTTCTTTCTCCTTGCAACTCCATACTCCCCAAACTTGCACTGCATTAAAAAAATGAAGCTATTACTTGATATCAAGAAAAATGAGAAGCCATATCCTTTCTTGGCTCAGAGAAAAGGAGAGAAGAGTATTCCTTCCTGAGAATTTTCAGCTGTGATAACAGTTTCTACTGCTGTAAGTTTAATCGGTTGCATAGCAGCTTACAGTAAAATGGGAATAGTTAATTAGAAGGGAGATAGCGACAAGTCCCTCAGGATCTTCACGCCTTAATTCCCTAGACCTCTAATTTAGCTTCCAGAAATTTATTTTATTAACAGTGAGCGCTCCCTATCGGCAAGCCACAAATATTCTGTATCCACGATATTCATTGGTAACTAACTAATGCTTTTTATATTATTTAGATTATCTAATATTGCGTTCAAATCTACTTAATTCAAATTCTACTAAAATGCTTTAATACCAGGTGTTCAAGACTGGGTGTTCAGATTTTTCAAGCATTTTATTAATATCCACTGGCCAAGAAAATAATCATATTGGAAGAAATGGGCTGGGCGTGGGGGCTCACCGCTGTAATCCCTGCATCTACGGAGGCCGAGGCGGACGGATCGCCAGAGGGCAGGAGTTAGAGACCAGCATAGACAACGTGGTGAAACCCCGTCTCTACTAAAAGTACAAAAATTAGCCAGGTGTTGTGGCACACGCCTGTAATCATAGCTACTAGGGAGGCTGAGGCAGGAGAATCGCTTGAACCTGGGAGACGCAGGTTGCAGTGGGCTGAGATCGGGCCACTGCACTCCAGCGTGGGTGACAGAGGGAGACACCGTCACAAAAAAAAAAAAAAAAAAAAAAGATTGGGAAAAATGGAGTTAGATGTAGTGTCAGAATAGATCTGTTCAATAAATCTTTTTATGCCTTTAGAAAAACTAGAAAAATATTTGTCATCATATTTGTATTTTTTTTCACAACTCATTTGTGGAATCCTCACACGATGTCTACTTCTGATCACCCTATGTAAAATTTCTCTCCTTACCATCTCATTGTTTTATCCTCCTTTTCTTTTAACAGTAGGTGACACTTCAAAAATATTAAATTATGTAAAAATTTCTCAGGTATATTGCCTCCCTTAGTGTGATTGCAGACACTAGGAGGCTAGGAATCTGTTTCATTAACTAATCTAAGCCAAGTGTCTAAAATAGGACCTAGCACTATGAGGCATTCAATGTATACTTGTAGAATGTATCAGATCTAGCTTTAATGGTTTTAACTTGGATATTTTAGTTTTACTAGATAATCACATTTATTTAGAGCTTACTTTACATCATCTACCATTCAACATATTTCAAAATATCAATTTACAAAATAACCAAAAAAGTTAAAGGCGGGTGCAATGATTACCCATATATTACAAATAGAAAAACTAAAGTTTAGTGATTTGTGTTCTCTATGTTCGATATATGTTTGATATATGTTTAACAAGTATAAAAAAAAAAAGATCTTGACTTGTAGTGTTTACGCCACTTTCTATGGTGCAAACATTTTTAACCACAGGTGATTCAAGCTATGAACATGACATTCACTGGCTCACAAAATTTCAGTAGGATCACAAACACTGATATTAGCCACTGCAAGCACTCCACTGTGAAAAGTTACATATAAATTATCTAAGATGGCTTAGTAAGAAAGAGAATATCTAGGTTATAAAATCAGAAAAATTGGCAATGCCTTCCGGGTGCAGAGTCTGGTGAGAATTTTGAATAATATTCTCAATTTATATCAGTTAACAAAAGGTATAATTAATCTTTTTTTCTGAGAATTTCCTTCCAAAATACTTACATTTATTTTTCAACTAATTGTCATCCTGGTTACTGTAGTTACTAAATTAATATTCTTATTTTAATTATTAATATTTTATTGGATTGCATTTGTCTATAAAATATAACAATGTTGGATTGATAAAGTCATTTTCCTATTGCAGATTTTCTTTTCCTTTGATAAATATTGCTCTACCTAGCAGTAATATTTTGAGGATTGGGAGAACTATCTATCTTAAAGGATATATTGGATTCATCCATTTGAAATCCCCTAGCACATATTGCAGTAGACTAAAGTAGGCATTTTGAAATTTGAATCAAAATATAAATAGCAGATAGTCAAATTAAATCTCAAGGGTGAGAAGATGGAGGACATTTGAATCATATTACCAGATGTTCAGCCTCTACTGTGAATTCAAAAACAAGAAAAAAAATGTTAACTGGAAATATTTTGAGGTCATCATATATTTTAAAAATACATTTTAGATCTTTATATCATAAGCAAATGCAAGTCTTAAATTAAAAATGTATTAAAACCAAAACACTGAGAGAAAAACTATATAAATAGCTTGATTTTCCAGACTTATAAAAGGATCTTACCTCTCATAGAACTGACTCTTCATTCTCTTTGATTTTACATGGCAGATTTCTATTATTCAGTATTTCAACTATAGGCACAATAACCAACTCAAGTATTGAAAATTCAATCATTCCATTTTAGTAAACTTCAGTTCCTATGATCTAATGCATTAATGGTTAGACAGAGAGAGAGTTCAATATTAAATCCTTTTTTTTTTCATTCAGTTTCAGGTGGTTCTATTTCCAAAACTATTGAAGCAAAGGCATTAATTATACATTTCCATTATGACAGAGCCAACATCAGCAGTCACTAAGGCATAATTTCTTTAGGAGGAGATGCAGCCTGTTTTCTGATCAAGTTTCGTTTCCCACAGGGAGGCATCAGTCTTATGTTACATAGCAAGCAGGCAAGAGAAGGGAAGCAAATTATAAGCACTTCACAGGGGAAAAAAGAATGAGGATCTGACTCAGGGCATCCTATTGAAAAAATAAAATTGTCTACTTCTGTTAGTTATTTTGATTCACACACACATGCACACTTATATACAGACTAGACATTCAAGATATTTATGAATTTTATTTATTTTGTTATCTTAGTAGAAATTTTACTTGACATTTTCAGGATTATTTTTTTCTTTTTCTTTCATCTTTTTTTATTATTATACTTTAAGTTCTAGGGTACATGTGCATGACATGCAGGTTTGTTACATAGATATACATGTGCCATGTTGGTTTGCTGTATCCATCAACTCGTCATTAACCTTAGGTATTTCTCCTAATGCTATCCCTCCCCTAGCCTCACACCCCCTGACAGGCCCTGGTGTGTAATGTTCCCCGCCCTGTGTCCAAGTGTTCTCATTGTTCAACTTCCACCTATGTGTGAGTACATGTGATGTCTGGTTTTCTGTCCTTGTTATAGTTTGCTGAGAATGGTGGTTTCCAGCTTCATCCATGTCCCTGCAAAGGACATGAACTCATCCTGTTTTATGGCTGCATAGTATTCCATAGTGCATATATGCCACATTTTCTTAATGCAGTCTATCATTGATGGACATTTGGGTTGGTTCCAAGTCTTTGCTATTGTGAATAGTGCTGCAATAAACATATGTGTGCATGTGTCTTTATTGTAGCATGATTTATAATACTTTGGGTATATACCCAGTAATTGGATTGCTAGGTCAAATGGTATTTCTAGTTCTAGATCCTTGAGGAATCACCACACTGTCTCCCAGGATGGTTGAACTAATTTACACTCCCACCAACACTGTAAAAGCGTCCCTATTTCTCCACATCCTCACCACCATCTGTTGTTACCTGACTCTTTAATGATCGCCATTCTAACTGGCATGAGATGGTATCTCATTGTGGTTTTGATTTGCATTTCTCTGATGACCAGTGTTGATGAACATTTTTTCATGTGTCTGTTGGCTGCATAAATGTCTTCTTTTGAGAAGTGTCTGTTCATATCCTTTGCCCACTTTTTGACGGGGTTGTTTATTTCTTTCTTGTAAATTCGCTTAACTTCTTTGTAGATTCTGGATATTAGCCCTTTGTCAGATGGGTAAGTTGCAAACATTTTCTCCCATACTGTAGGTTGCCTGTTCACTCTGATGGTAGTTTCTTTTGCCATGCAAAAGTTCTTTAGTTTAATTAGATCCCATTTATCAATTTTGGCTTCTGTTGCCATTGCTTTTGGTGTTTTAGTCATGAAGTCCTTGCCCATGCCTATGTCCTGAATGGTATTGCCTAGGTTTTCTTCTAGGGTTTTTATGGCTTTAGGTTTAACATTTAAGTCTTTAATCCATCTTGAATTAATTTTTGTATAAGGTGTAAGGAAGGGATCCAGTTTCAGCTTTCTATATGTGGCTAGCCAGTTTTCCCAGCACCATTTATTAAATAGGGAATCCTTTCCCCATTTCTTGTTTTTGTCAGGTTTGTCAAAGATCAGATGGTTGTAGATCTGTGGTGTTATTTCTGAGGCCTCTGTTCTGTTCCATTGGTGCATATATCTGTTTTGGTACCAGTACCATGCTGTTTCGGTTACTGTAGCCTTGTATTATAGTTTGAAGTCAGGTAGCGTGATGCTTCCAGCTTTGTTCTTTTTGCTTAGGATTGTCTTGGCAATGTGGGCTCTTTTTTGGTTCCATATGAAATTTAGTTTTTTCCAATTCTATGAAGAAAGTCATTGGTAGCTTGATGGCGATGTCATTGAATATACAAATTACTTGGACAGTATGGTCATTTTCACAATATTGATTCTTCCTATCCATGAGCATGGAATGTTCTTCCACTTGTTTGTGTCCTCTTTTATTTCGTTGAGCAGTGGTTTGTAGTTGTCCTTGGAGAGGTCCTTCACATCCCTTGTAAGTTGGATTCCTAGGTATTTTATTCTCTTGGTAGCAATTGTAAATGGGAGTCCACTAGTGATTTGGCTCTCTGTTTGTCTGTTATTGGTGTATAGGAATGCTTGTGATTTTTGCACACTGATTTTGTATCCTGAGACTTTGCTGAAGTTGCTTATCAGCTTAAGGAGATTTTGGGCTGAGATGATGGGGTTTTCTAAATATACAATCATGTCATCTGCAAACAGGGACAATTTGACTTCCTCTTTTCCTAATTGAGTATCTTTATTTCTTTCTCTTGCCTGATTGCCCTGGCCAGAACTTCCAACACTATGTTGAATAGGAGTGGTGAGAGAGGGCATCCTTGTCTTATGGCAGTTTTCAAATGGAATGCTTCCAGTTTTTGCCCATTCAGTATGATATTGGTTGTGGGTTTGTCATAAATAGCTCTTATTATTTTGAGATATGTTTCATCAACACCTAGTTTATTGAGAGTTTTTAGCATGAAAGGATGTTCAATGTTTCACAAAGGGCTTTTCTGTATCTATTGAGATAATTATGTGGTTTTTGTTGTTAGTTCTGTTTATGTGATGGATTAAGTTTATTGATTTGCATATGTTGAACCAGCCTTGCATCCCAGGAATGAAGCTGACTTGATCATGGTGGATAAGCTTTTTGATGTGCTGCTGGATTCGGTTTGCCAGTATTTTATTGAGGATTTTTGCATCAATGTTCATCAGGGATATTGGTCTAAAATTCACTTTTTTGGTTGTGTCTCTGCCAGGCTTTGGTATCAGGATGATGCTGGCCTCATAAAATGAGCTAGGGAGGATTCCCTCTTTTTCTATTGACTGGAATAGTTTCAGAAGGAATGGTACCATCTCCTCTTTGTACCTCTGGTAGAATTTGGCTGTAAATCCATCTGGTCTTGGACTTTTTGGTTGGTAGGCTATTAATTATTGCCTCAATTTCAGAGCCTGTTTTTGGTCTATTCAGAGATTCAACTTCTTCCTGGTTTAGTCTTGGGAGGGTGTATGTGTCTAGGAATTTATCCATTTCTTCTAGATTTTCTAGTTATTTGCATAGAGGTGTTTATAGTATTCTCTGATGGTAGTTTGTATTTCTATGGAATCAGTGGTGATATCTGCTTTATCATTTTTTATTGCATCTATTTGATTCTTCTCTCTTTTCTTCTTTATTAGTCTTGCTAGTGGTCTATCAATTTTGTTGATCTTTTCAAAAAACCAGATGCTGGATTCCTTTATTTTTTGAAGGTTTTTTTGGGTCTCTATCTCCTTCAGTTCTGCTCTGATCTTAGTTATTTCTTGGCTTCTGCTAGCTTTTGAGTGTGTTTGCTCTTGCTTCTCTAGTTCTTTTAATTATCCTGTTAGGGTGTTGATTTTAGATCTTTCTAGCTTTCTCTTGTGGGCATTTAGTGCGATATATTTCCCTCTACACACTGCTTTAAATGTGTCCCAAAGATTCTGGTATGTTGTTTCTTTGTTCTCACCGGTTTCAAAGAACATCTTTATTTCTGCCTTCATTTCGTTATTTACCCAGTAGTCATTCAGGAACAAGTTGTTCAGTTTCCATGTAGTTGTGCGGTTTTGAATGAGTTTCTTAATCCTGAGTTCTAATTTGATTGCACTGTGGTCTGAGAGACAGTTTGTTGTGATTTCTGTTATTTTAGACTTGCTGAGGAGTGCTTTACTTCAAATTATGTGGTGAATTTTAGAATAAGTGCAATGTTGTGCTGAGAAGAATGTATATTCTGTTGATTTGGGGTGGAGAGTTCTGTAGATGTTTGTTAGGTCCACTTGGTGCAGAGCTGAGTTCAAGTCCTGGATATCCTTGTTAACCTTCTGTCTCGTTGATCTGTCTAGTATTGACAATGTGGTGTTAAAGTCTTCCATTATTATTGTGTGGGAGTCTGAGTCTCCTTGTAGGTCTGTAAGGACTTGCTTTATGAATCTGGGTGCTCCCATACTGGGTACATATATATATATAGGATAGTTAGCTCTTCTTGGTGAATTGATCCCTTTACCATTATGTAATGGCCTTCTTTGCCTCTTTTGATCTTTGTTGGTTTAAAGTCTGTTTTATCAGAGACTAGGATTGCAACCCCTGCTTTTTATTGCTTTCCATTTGTTTGGTAGATCTTCCTCCATCCCTTTATTTTAATCCTATCTGCACATGAGATGGGTCTCTTGAATACAGCACACTGATGAGTCTTGACTCTTTATCCAATTTGCTGGTCTGTGTCTTTTAATTGGGGCATTTAGTGCATTTGCATTTAAGGTTAATATTGTTATGTGTGAATTTGATCTGTCATTATGATGTTAGCTGGTTATTTTGCCCAATAATTGATGCAGTTTCTTCATAGCATCAATGGCCTTTACCCTTTGGCATGTTTTTGCAGTGACTGGTACCAGTTGTTCCTTTCCATGTTTAGTGCTTCCTTCAGGAGCTCTTGTAAGTCAGGCCTGGTGGTGATGAAATCTCTCAGCATTTGCTTGTCTGTAAAGGATTTTATTTCTCTTTCACTTATGAAGCTTAGTTTGGCTGGATATGAAATTCTGGGTTGAAAATTCTTTTCTTTAAGAATGTTGAATACTGGCCCCTTTCTTCTGGCTTGTAGGGTTTCTACAGAGTAATCTGCTGTTCCTCTGATGGGCTTCCCTTTGTGGGTAGTCCGACCTTTCTCTCTGGTTTCCCTTAACATTTTTTCCGTCATTTCAACCATGGTGAATCTGACAATTATGTGTCTTGGGGTTGCTCTTCTCAAGGAATACCTTTGTGGTGTTCTGTGTATTTCCTGAATTTGAATGTTGGCCTGCCTTTCTAGGTTGGGGAATTTCTCCTGTATAATATTGTGAAGAGTGTTTTCCAACTTGGATCCATCCTCCCCATCACTTTCAGATACACCAATCAAACGTAGATTTGGCCTTTTCACACAGTCCCATATTTCTTGGAGGCTTTGTTAGTTTCTTTTTACTCTTTTTTCTCTAAACTTGTCTTCTCACTTTATTTGATTAATTTGATCTTCAATCACTGATCCCCTTTCTTTCACTTAATTGAATCGGCTATTGAAGCTAGTGCACACATCACGAAGTTCTCATGTCATGGTTTTCAGCTCCATCAGGTCATTTAAAGTCTTCTCTATGCTGTTTATTCTAGTTAGGCATTCTTCTAACCTTGTTTTAACCTTTTTTCAAGCTTCCTTGCTATGACTTAGAATATGCTCATTTAGCTTGGAGAAGTTTGTTATTACCGACCTTCTGAAGTCTGCTTCTATCAACTCATCAAAGTCATTCTCTGACCAGCTCTGTTCCATTGCTGGTGAGGAGCTGCAATCCTTTGGAGGAGAAGAGGCACTCTGGTTTTTAGAATTTTCAGCTTTTCTGCCCTTTTCTATCTTTATCTTTAGATAAAACCATCTTTGTGGTTTTATCTACCTTTGGTTTTTGATGTTAGTGACTTACAGATGGAGCTTTGGTGTAGATGTCCTTTTTGTTGATGTTGATGCTATTCCTTTTCGTTTATGTTGATGCTATTCCTTTTTGTTTGTTAGTTTTCCTTCTAACAGTCAGGTCCCTCAGCTGCAGGTCTGTTGGAGTTTGCTGGAGGTCAACTCCAGACCCTATTTGCCTGGGTATCCCCAGAAGAGGCTGCAGAACAGCAAATATTGCAGAACAGCAAATACTGCTGCCAGATTCTTCCTCTGGAAGCTTTGTCCCAGAGGGGCACCCACCTGTGTGAGGTGTCTGTCGGCCTCTACTGGGAGGTATCTCCCAGTTAGGCTACATGGGGGTCAGGTACCCATTTGAAGAGGCAGTATGTCTGTTCTCAGAGCTCAAATGCCGTGCTCAGAGAACCACTGGTCTCTTTGGAGCTGTCAGGGAGGGATGTTTAAGTCTGCAGAAGTTTCTGCTGCCATTTGTTTAGCTATGACCTGCACAAAGAGGTGGAGTCTATAGAGGCAGTAGGCCTTGCTGAGCTGTGGGAAGCAGTTTGAGCTTCCCGGCCACTTTGTTTACCTGTTCAAGCCTCAGCAATGGCAGACACCCTTCCCCCAGCCAGGCTGCAGCCTGGCAGGTCAGTCTCAGACTGCTGCACTAGCAGTGAGCAAGGCTCCATGGGCCTGGGACCCACTGAACCAGGCACGGGAGAAAATCTCCTGGCCTACCAGTTGCTAAGACTATGGGAAAAGCACAGTATTTGGGTAGGAGTGTCCCATTTTTGCAGGTACAGTCTGCCATGGCTTCCCTTGGTTAGGAAAAGGAAATCCCCCAACCCCTTGCACACTTTCTGGGTGAGGTGATGCCCTGCGCTACTTTGGCTCACCCTCCGTGGGCTGCACCCACCATCCAGCCAGTCTCAATGAGATGAACCAGGTACCTCAGTTGGAAATGCAGAAATCACCCGTCTTCTGCATTGATCATACTGGGAGCTGCAGACCAGAGCTCTTCCTATTCAGCCATCTTGGAATGGAAAAACCTCTGTTTCTTTTTTCTAAAAAATGTAATTATTACCTCACAAGAATTATTTTCATAATCAAATAGTTATTCATTGAAACTAAGTAAAGCAACTGTTTGATTTTGCTGTACTCAAAAATATTGTGTACTTAACTTCATTAACTAACAAAATATTGCCGTAAAAAGTAGCTCTGTTAATTCTTCAGGCTAATAAGTGACACAAAAAAGTGCAGGGTAAACTCTTAGAAGATAACATAAAAGAAAACGTAGACGACCTTTGGTATGACAATGAGGTTTTATTTGCAAAACAAAAGGCACAATCTGAGAAAGAAATCATTGATAACTTGGACTTTATTATACATAATTTGGAAAAAAATTATCTGTTCTACAAACCCCACTGTTAGAGAATGAGAAGACAAGCCACATACTAAAAGAAAATATTTGAAAAAGAAATAAAAGATAAATGATAGTCATCCATAATGTATAAAAGAACTCTTAAAACTCAACAATAAGAAAGTGAGGCTGGGCACAGTGGCTCACACCTTAATCCCACCAGTTTGGGAGGCTGAAGAGGGCAGATCACTTCAGCTCACCAGTTTGAGATCAGCCTGGGCAGTGTGGCAAAACCCCATCTCTACAAAAAATACAAAAATTAGCCAGGCGTGGTGGCACACACCTGTAATCCCAGCTACTCTGGCGGCTGAGGTGGGAGAATCACTTGAGCATAGGAGGTGGAGGTTGCAGTTAGCCGAGATTGCACCACTGCACTCCAGCCTGGGGAAGAGAGCCCAATCTTGTCTCAAACAAACAAAAACAGAAGAAAAGAAGAAGAGGACCAACCCAGTAAAAAAATTAGCAAAATATCTGAACAGTGTGCTCAGATTGCAAATAAGCATATGAAAACTTACTCCATAATATATGTCATCAGAGAAAGACATATTAAGGCAACGAGATACTACTACACACCTATGAAATAATCAAAATCCGAAACACTGACAATACCGAATGCTGGGAAGAATATGGAGAAACAGAAACTTTTCATTCATTGCTGCAGGCAATGAAAAATGGTACAGTCACTTTTGATGATGGTTTAGCAGTTTCTTACAAGGTATACATAGCTCTGACCAGAAATTTTGCATCTTGGCATTTACCTAAATGAGTTGAAAACATGTCCACAAGAAAACCTGCACATGGATGGTTTATAGCAGTTTTATTCATAATTGCCAAAATTCGTCATTAACAAAATAACTAGAGGTCCTTCAGAAGATGAATAAATAAAAAGTGTTTTTTATGGGATGTTATTCAGTACTAAAAATAAGGGGATGTTATTCAGTACTAAAAAGAAATGAGCTATCAAACCAAAAAAAGACACAAAAGAATCTTAAATACATATCACGAACTTTTTTTTAAAAAGCCAATCTGAAAAGGCTATGTATTGTATGATTCCAACTGTATGACATTTAACTCTTATGCTATTGCTAAAAGTTTTCTAAAAATTTCTCTCTGACACTGTGATCATATGACTGATATATTTCTTTACCACTTCAGTATATGAGCATTATCACTAAAATTTTCCTTCCCAACTTATTTATTTTCTACCTTGTCCTTGATTGAAACTGTGCTCTCCAACCTACTTTGAAGGCCACAGCACAGGTACCTAAGCGAGAGTTAGTAGGATTACAGGAGTGGTTCCAGTGGAGTAAAGAAGGCCACAAGAGTTTTGCCAATTCTCACATGAAGACATATAGTCAAGTTTCCTTTCCTTTGAATATGGGGTGCCCTTGATACTTACATAAGTGACATTATGATACTTCCAAGGCCAGTTTTTAAATAAAACCAGCAGTTTCTACTTCCTTCCTCTTCAGGAGATGCAGCCATCATAGTACAATACTACATACTACATACTACAGCCATCACATGGTCAGAGTTCATAAGTAACGAGGCATCTCACAGAGAGAGAAAGGCCAGGTACAAAGCCCTCGAGACCCAGCTATGAGCGTGAAGCCTTCTTGGACCCTCCAGCTCAGCCTATTCTGCCTGCTGAATTCAACCAAGTGGGTGACTTCAGCCAATACCAAGTAGAGCAGAACAGCTATGAGGTGAACTTATTTGAAAAGGAATAAATTATTCTTAGGTCAATAAATTTGGGGATTGTTTTTAATGAAGCCATATATAAATGAAATCGTTTTTGACTTTGGCTGAACATTTGAATCAACTAGATGGTAACAATTTTAAATGATCTGGAACCAAGCCAAGAAAATTGACATTTTTAAGGGTAGAGTCTTAGCATCCCTATTTTTAAAGGCTCCCAAAGTGACTGCAACACACAGGCAGTGTTGAGAACTATGTAGTTAGTGTTGCTTGTGCCCAGTTCTGCTTCTAAATAACTTCTCCTGTAACATTTAAAAATTCCCCACAGTTTAGCCTTATGTCATCTAGCTCTGTTGCTTTCAATTCTTTAGTCTGAAACGTTTTATTCTTCAAGAACACTCAGTCCTAAGCATTCTGAAAATAATATATCTGTTTGATGTGAAGTGTAATTAATGGATCATAACTTTAATGATTTGGTTTTCTATGTGTTTGTCTGCTTGCCTGTTTTTAACAGTCTGTTTTGTGTATCTGCATATATCTCAGTAGGAAGAGAGTCAATAAATGAATAATCAACTCATTTCTGACATATGACTCATCGAACATATATCTAAATCTTCAGAGATCATTTTTTTTAACAACTTTTTCAGGTGTTTTAAATCTTACATTGCTAATGTGGGAAGTTGTCAGTAAATGATTCAGTGTTTCTATAAGCAGATAATTTCAGTATTTCAAATTTCTTTATATGCCTAAGAGAGACAGGTATCTTTTCCAGATGTTAAGTAGAGACATAAATGCGAACTTAGATTCAATTAGCAAGTTCATAAAATAGCTTATATATTTAATAGATACAATTAACTGATATTTTGGCTTTTTATCAAAATAAATCTTCTTTCAAAGATTAACACATTTTTATTGAGGAGTAATTCTATTGGGTTTATAAAAATCTTGAGAGTGAAAATGAGTCTTGCCAGTTCTAATTTATAATTCATTACTGAAGTGCTTGCATTAAAATACATTGGAGATGGACAAAAACAATCATTTGAATCTAGGTTCCACCAATTACTGACTGTGTGAACTTGATGAAACCACTTAGACCCTCTCAGTTCAGTTCCTCATTTATAGTAATAATAGTATCTATATCCCAAAGCTATTTTGAGGCTTAAAATAAGATAATGTTTCACTTGCAATTCTTATAGGAAAATTAACATTAAGTAAATATTATCAATCTTAATTATGTCTCAGTATCATAATAATGAGCTTGTTGAAACACAGCTAAGAAACACCCCCTACACATCATACCTCTCATCCTTCACTCCATGGAGAAATAAAAGAGGCAGGAGATATTTGAGAAGAAATTCATGAATGGCAACGTAGATTAACTGCCCACCCCTTAAAACAAACATGGATGGCAAAAAATAACATTTGAAAATATGCAAAAAATGAATGAACATTTATTGAATGCCTACTATATGCTATGTACTTTGCTAAGAGTCAACCAAAAAGTTAACAACACACTTCAGGAAGAAAGATTATTGTCAAGTCTTATCAATTATAGATACAATTGTCTCAGAATGTTCTTGGGGTAACCAAAATCTTGCTGAATAGTGTTTAGCTAGCAGAGTGATTTTAATTAGAATCACCTGATTAATACTAGCTTAGTATCCAGGAAGCTAATTTCATTTCTATTTATGCATAGAACCATGTGTAGGATCCAAGACTCCCGAGTTCCAGAGAGGTGCGCTTTCCATTACAACTTGCAGCTGTAGAAATAAAAGAGAACAGTAAATGCTACTTGAATTTCATGATTTCAGATATCCAGTAAAGATGAATTCACTTGCTGCACCTGCTTGTTGTTTTATCATTCCATTTCCTATCTCCCATGTGAAATTGCCCACAGACACAACATCTATTTAAAATGATTGGATCTTGAAAAAATGTAAATTGATATTTTATACCCCATAAGTTCTTCTGCAATGGTAATATCTGTGCTATATGCACATTGAAAATTAAATCATTTTTAAGCTAGCATAGGGCCTGTCTAATAAAAATCCTTCTGAAACCCCACTGTCTTCTCAGTAGCAGCTTTTCACAGTGAAGCATTTAAGCTTTTAAAAAGCACAGAACAAATGTGATTGATTATCAGTTCACTTGCCAGATTCTGCATTGAAATTAAAGAAAGTAAAAGCTCTTCTATGAAAGTGATATAACCACCTGCAATATTAAACCAATAAAACATGTGTTCAGCTATTTATGAAGTGTCTTGACCCAGATATATAAAGTAGCCTTCTAGTATGTAGGAGACTTATATAGTAACTGATCAATCCTTTCTAACTGTGGCAAAACAGTAAAAAGCATACCAAATTGACTAAAAGGCCAAAACACTCTGAAAGAATTCCATCATTGAAACAAATATGAAGTTAGCCACACTTGTGATAAGCAGGACAAATGAAAAAATGCAGCCTATTAGTATGGATGTAGGAGATATTCTAAGAATTATTAATTCATTAAAAAAGATTCCCGGTGCCTGACACATAACAAAACTAGATTTGATTGAGCATTCACTTGTTTTTCTGCTTATCTAAATATTAGACAACGCCCTGATGATTTTCAAGAAGCTGATACAATTCTTTGCAAATAGCTCTGTTATCTATAAATAGCCCATTTCTACTTAGCCTCCATATCATCTATTTTAAATAGCTACAGATAATATTTGTGCATGCTTTGTTGTTTAAGAAGTATAAACACAACCAATAAATGCTGAATTATCTAATAAATAGTAACTTTGGGATTCAATTTAGAGAGAAGCCAATCTGAAACTTGGATGGATCTATTCAATAAATCTGTTCTTTTTGGAAGGGAAGATCTTAGCAACAGAGAATACAAGGTAGGCTAGAGCAGCATGCAATCAACATCAAAGGTTACTAGGTTCCAGGTTCCTAGGCTACCAGGAATTTTCCAGAATGATGATAAAGTATTGAAAGCGTCTTGTAGCTGTGGGTTACGTAAACCTATATGAATGGGTGACAACGAAAGGACAAGGCTTCATTAAGTAGGAGGACCACGTTTTAAAAAGGCAACAACTTTGCCCCAGACAAATAGAATGATTGACTATGGGACAAGATGGACAAACTAAAATGGGAGAGAAATCAATAATGGATTACTAAAACATGGGTGTAACTCAGAGAATCGGTTATAAGAAACAAAGATATTTCTTATTTTACGGGAATCACCGAACAATGTTAAATCAGTGACAAAAACAAGAGACAAACAAACCCATTCATTTACTTCACCCTGGGGCTGCTTTAGATTTAGGCCTTTGATGTGGTTTACGCAGCCTCACACGTATAGTATACGGAGACAGTGGCAGGCATGAAGGTAAGCTTCTGGCAGGGAAGAATGGCATTTATTCCATGTATAGCAGAATTCTTCACCTTTGGGTGTGTATATGGGTGTGTGAATGAAAATTTTCTGTTTGTATTGCTTCATGCAACCACTATTTATTGATGATTTAAACATCCTCAATCAGGGCAAGATTTTAATGTACGTATATTTAATTTTTGAAATAAAAGTTCCATCAACAACGTGATATTAAAGCCAAGCCACTACCATAATGAGTAAATATAAAACTGAAGATAGCAGCAAGATAGAGCCGCAGATATAAATAAAAATCAGTAAGCCTAATATTCTGGGAATATTCATCAATTATTGTTTAAAGCAAGTCCAACACAAAAGTTCAAAATGTTTTAAGTCATGACTACATGATCATAAAATAAAGAGGACATCACCAAGGTGGCCAACTTATTTGACAACCAATTCTGGTAACGATAATAAAATATTTCTATGATGTATAATCACACCGTAAATATCGATAATTCTACCCAAACTTTGTAGCAAAGAAATACATTTTTGTCTTCTACCTCAAAACTTTGTATAATAGAAATGTAGACACTATGTTAAATACTATGAACTATATTGTTCATATTTTCAGAGCAAGAAATGAATGTTTACTTGAAGTTGTTTTTCTTCAAAAATTACTTATTCATATATGGAATAAATAGCCCAGAATAAATACAAAATATTGAGTCTTCTGATTGTCACAGTTTCAGTCATAGGTTCTGGATTTTTCATCGAATGTGCATGTATTCACAGGATTGATAATCCAATAAATTGCGCCCTACTCTCAGTCTGATGATGGATGAGGCAGTGGCAGTGTTGCTCTATACATGAGCACCCCCTTCTGGCCCAACCTGGATACCCATTTCTATTGTAACAACAATTTATTTGGAATATCCCTTACTATATCTTAGATAAATGCTATCCTATGCAAATATGTAAATAGTGATATCACCTCAAGAACTTAGCTCAAGGTGCCCTGTGAATATTTGTTTCATTTTAAAAGCAAACAGAATGAACAATTAGATTAATTTATATTACTTTCCCATTGCTACTGCAAGAAATCACAACACTTTTAGTGGCCTAAAAGAATGCAAATTCATTATTTTACAGTTCAGCAGGTCGGTTGTCTGACATGTGTCATTCTGGGATAGAATCAAGGTCTCAGAAGGGTTTTTACTTCTTTCTGGTAGCTCTTAGGGAGAATGTTTCTCTGCCTTTTTAGCTTCTGGAGAATGTCCACATTCCTTAGGTCATGGACTATTTCCTCCATGTTTAAAACCACCAAATTTGCATTTCTCTGTATTTTTCTCTCATATGTCTCCTTCTTATTCTCTCCTCCACATACTACTACCATTTTAAGGACCCTTGTGATTACATTGCTTCTATTCTGATAATTCAGGTTAATGCCTTTTTTTAAAAACAATCAGGTGACTAGCAACTTAAGCTCATCATGCCAGGACCTGAACATATTCACAGGGTCTGGGGATTAAGACCTGGGCATTGCTATGGTGTGAATGTGTGTCTCCCCCTACCCCCGAGCCCTGCATTCATATGTTAAAATCCTAACTCCCATGGTGATAGTTTTAGGACATGAAGGCTTTGGGGCGCGGGGGTGATTAGGTCATAGAAAGGGAGCCCACATGAATGGAATAAGTGCACTTATGAAACAGGCCCAAGATAAGCCCCTCATCTAAATAAACTCAAAATAAAGACTCAAATAAAATCAGAAATTAAAAGGGTGACACTCCAACTGATACCACAGAAATACAAAGGATTACAAGAAACTATTATGAATAAATATATGCCAACAAATTGGATAACCTAGAAGAAATGGATAAATTTTTTGACGTATATAATCTACCAACATTGAATTATGCAGAAATAGAAAATCTGAACAGACCAATAATGAATAAGGAGATTATAATTAGTAATAAAAAGTCTCTCATCAGAGAAATTCTCAGGACATGATAACTTCACTTTTGAATTCTACCAGACATTTAAAGAAGAACTAATACTAATTCTTCTCAAACTTTTCCAAAAAATTAGAGAGGAGGGAATATTTCCACATTTATTTTACAAGGCCAGTATTATCCTGACACCAAACTCAGACATGGACACTACAAAAGAAGAAAACTATAGGCCAATATCCCTGGTGAACTTAAGTGCAAAAATCTTCAACAAAATATTTTCCGACCAAATATTATGGAATATTTAAAAGATCATTTACCATGATAAGGTGGGATTCATTCCAAGGATGCAAGGATGACTCCATACGCAAGTCAACTAATCTCATACATCACATTAACATAATAAAGAAGAAACACCATATGATTATTTCAATAGGTGTAGAAACAGCATTATACAAAATGTCACATCCTTTCATAATTAAAAAAACCTCTTAGCAAATTAATTACAGAAGAGATGCATCTCAATATAATAAGGACTGTATATGACAAACCCACAGCTAACACCATACTCAATGGAGAAAAATTGAAAGCTTTCCATCTAAGATTGAGAACAAGACAACAATGGCCAAGCTAGCCACTTCTATTTAACCCAGTACTGGAAGTTCTAGCTATAGCAATTAGGCAAGAGGAAGAAAGAAAAGACATCCAAATTGCGAAAAAAAGGTAAACTGTCCCTGTTTGTAGATAACAAAATCTTAGATATAAAAATCCTAAAGACTCCACCAAAAAACTGTTAAAACTAATAAATGAAATCAGTAAACTTACAGAATACAAAATCAATACAAAAAATCAGTAGCATTTCATACACTAATGGTGAGCAATATGAAAAAGCAATCAAGAAAACAGTTTCATTTACTATGGCTAAAAAAAGATATAATAATTAGAAATAAATTTAAACGAGGAGGTGAAAAATCTCTACACTGAAAACTATAGAACAGTGGTTAAAGAAACTAAACAAGACACAAATAAATGTAAAGATATCCCATATATATGGTTTGGAAGAATTAAACTTGTTAAAATGTCCATACCACCTAAAGTGATACACAGGTTCAATGCTATCCCTGTCAAAATATTACTGTCATTCTTTACAGAAATAGAAAAAATAATCCTAAAATTTGTTTAGAACCACAAAAGTCTCTGAATAGCTAAAGCAATGTTGAACAAGGAGAACAAAGCTGAAGGCGTTGCATTACCTGACTTCAAAATATACTACAATATAGCAAACAAAAAAGTGTAATACTAGCATAAAACAAGACACATAGACCAATGAAACAGAATAGAGAGCCCAGAAAATCCACACCTTAATAGCCATCTGATTTTTTATCAAAGTGCTAAGCACACACAATGGGGACAGGACAGTCTTTTCAACAAATGGTGGTGGGAAACGGGATGCCTGCATGCAGAAGAGTGAAATTAGGCCCTTATTTCACGAAAAAATACAAAAATTAACTCAAAATGCATTGAAGACTTAAATGTAAGACTCGAAACTATGAAATTACTAGAATAAAACACAGAGGAAAAGCTTCATGAAATTGGTCTTGACAACTTTTTTTTGGATATAACTTCAAATTGCAGGCAACAAAAACAACTATAGACAAATGGGATTACATCAAACTAAAAATGTTCTGCACAGCAACAGAAAATATCAAGAGTGAGGAAACACTCTTGAGGTTTGAAAACATTTTCTTGAGGAAGAAAATATTTGCGAGCTATGCATCTGATAATGGGATAATACCTAAAATTTATAAAGAATTCAAACTATTCAATGGCAAGAATACAAATAACCCAACTAAAAAATGGGCAGAGGACTTAAATAGACATCTCTCCAAAGAAAATATACAAATGAACAACAGATATATGAAAAAAAATCCTTAACATCACTAATTATTAGGGAAATGCAAATTATACTGTGATGACATATTACCTCACTTCTGTGAGGATGGCTATTACAACAAAGACAAAAGATTACAATGATAGCGTGGATGTAAAGTAAAGGAAATGCTTGCACACTGTTGGTGGAAATGTAAATTAGTATACTCATTATGGAAAACAGTTACGGAGGTTCCTCTAAACTTAAAAATAGAATTACCATGTAACCCAGCAATCCCATTACTCAGTGTATACCTAAAGGAAAGCAAGTCAGTATGTCAAAAGCATATCTGCCCCCATATGTTGATTGAAGCATTATTCACAATAGCCAAGATACAGAATCAACCTGTGTCCATCAATGAATGAATGAATTAATTAAAAAATATGACATAGACATATCTTGTTTCATTGCACTTTACTTAATTATGCTTTACAGATTTTAGATTTTTAAGAAGGTTTGCGGTAACATTGCATCAAGCTAGTGTATTAGTGCTACATTTCCAATAGTATAGTATCACTTCGTGTCTCTCTGTCACACTTCGGTAATTCTCACAATATTTCAAACTTTTTTCACGATTTTATATCTGTTATGGTAATCTTGGATCACTGATGCTTTATGTCACTGTAATAATTGTTTGGGGGCACCACAAACCTCAAACACCCATGTAAGACAGTGAACTTAATTGATAAATATTGTCTGTATTTGATAGCTTCACTGACCAGCCATTTCCCCTTCTCTCTTCCTCTCCTTAGGCCTCCCTCTTCCCTGAGACACAACAATATTGACACTAGGCCAATTAATAACCTTACAATGGCCTCTAAGTTTTCAAGTAAGGAGGGTTGCATGTCCCTCACTTTAAATCAAAGCCAGAAATGATTAAGTTTAGTGAAGAAGGCATGTCAAAGACTGAGATAGCCTGTAAGCTAGGCTTATTGTACCAAACAACCAAATTGTGAATGCAAAGGAAAAGTTCCTTAAAAAAACTAAAAGTGTCACTCCAGTGAATACATGAATAATAAGAAAGTGAAACAGTCTCATTATTGATATGATATGGAGAAAGTTTTAATGGTCTGAACAGAAATCAAACCAGCCACAGCATTCCTTTAAGTCAAATCCTAATTCAGAGCATGACCCTAGCTCTCTTCAATTCTCTGAAGGCTGAGAGAGGTAAGGAAGCTGCAGAAGAAAGTTTGAAACTATCAAATGTTGGTTCTTGAGGTTTAAGGAAAGAAAGCTCAAGGTAAAACAGCAAATTATCCAGAAGATCTAGCTGAAATAATTGATGAAGATAGTTACACTAAATAATACATTTTCAATGTAGATGAAACAGGCTTCTATTGGAAGAAGATACTATCTAGGACTTTCAAAGCTAGTGAAAAGCCAATGTCTGGCTTTAAAGCTTCAAAGAACAAGCTGAGTCTCTTGTTAGGAGCTAATGCAGCTGTTAAATTATTTCTTATTTTAAAAAACTGCCACAGTCACTCCAGTCTTCAGCAACCACCACCCTAATCATTAGCAGCCATCAACATCAATGCAAAATCCTCCGCTAGAAAAAAATTATAACCTACTGAAGGCTCAGAGAATCATTACCATTATTTAGCAATGAAGTATTTTTAATTAAGGTTTACACATTGTTTTTTAAACATAATTCTATTGCACACTTGATAGACTATTGTATACAGTAAGCAAAACTTTTACATATCCTGGGAAGTCAAAAAATTTGTGTGACTCACTTTATTGTGATATTCACTTTATTGCAGGGTTCTGGAGCTGGACCCACAATATCTTCAAGGTATGCCTGTATGTACACACAACGAAACACTATTCGGCCATGAAAAAGAAGAATAATCTGTCATTCATGACAACATGGAGGACATTATGCTAAGTGAAATAAGCCAGAGAGAAAGACAAATACTATATAAGCTCATGCATGCAGAATCTAAAAAAGTTGATCTCATAAAAGTAGAGAATAAAATGGTGGTTACCAGAGGTTGGGGTGGCTGTGAAGAGGACTGGGGAGACATTGGTCAAAATATATAAAATTATAGTTATATAGGAGTTATAAGTTCACGAAATCTGTTTTTCAGCATAGTGACTATACTTAATAATGATGGATTACATTCTTAAACAATGCTAAGAATGAATGTTAAATGTTCTCACCATAAAAATAACTGTGAGGAAATGCATATTTTAATTAGCTACACTTAACCATTCCAAAATGTGTAGGTACTTCAAAACATCACGTTACATATGATAAATACATTCAATTTTATGTCTCAATTTAAAATAAATAATTTTAGAAAATTAATTTTTAAAATTGATATATAATACTTGTATATATTTATGGGATACAAAGTGATGTTTCAATACATATAGTGTGTCGTGATCAAGACAAAAGTAATTACCTCTGGTTATAGCACCCCCAAAAAACTGATCATCATCTTTAACTCTGACAATCTCTAGGTGTGGGAGAACAAAAGCTGCTTTCATCTTTAACAATGCATTGGATCAAAGTTTGTATTATCAAGAACATACATTCTTTCAAATGTTTTTCCAAAAAGGAACATATATTTTTAATATTCTAACTCCCCAATTGGTTGGTAGCCATATACCAACCAATCTCATTAAGCTGTCATGGCTGTTAGCTTTTCTTCTTTTCTAAACCATTAAATTAAAAAAAAAATGCAAAAGATTTTATAGATCAAAGCCAATTAATTGGTACCCTGGTATGCACAAAGTTAAGGACCGAGTTGTTTTATTTGAATAGTCACACTGAGAAAGCTCAATATTAATTCACTCTGTCCCCAAACATGCATATTTTAAATGCAAATCCTTTTAGAAAACAAGGGGAACATAAGATAGTGCTTGATTCTTTTTCCTAAATGCTTTTTCTTTCCTTCTTATTAATTTGAAAGAAGGATACATTAGGTAACTTTTTTTATACCTTTAAGAAGATTTAATTTAGTGTTTCTACCAGGCACTGTGAAAAAAAAATTGCTTTAAAAGACAAACAATAGCAAGAAATACATTGAATCATTATTCTAATAGGGTGCAAATACATTTGAATAAGCGATTAAATAGACATTTCAAACAAATTAATAAAAACATTGATTCTAACTTTAGTGAGATAACACTGATGAAAGAGTCTCTTAGGTAATGGCCGGGGGGGGCGAACAGCATACTTTTCCAGAGAAAGGAACATAGCTCTAAGTCTCCAAGAATGAGTGAGTATTATGAGGTAAAGGTCTAGCAGGGAGGTCAGCAAGCACTAAAAGTGGGGAGAGTGGAATATTCTGTTGTTATCAAGGGAGGAAGAGTAAAAACTTTGATGTGGACTAAATAGATATGGTGAGTAGCGTGGAGTAGGAATGAGGCAAGATTTAAATTAAACTGCATGTCAAGAACTTCTGGTTTCTAATCCAACATGTAAGGAACTTTGAAGCCATCACTGCATCCTAACCACAAGTAAAAATCTGATCAAATTGAAAACTAAACTGCTCTTCTTAGATTGACTAGAGACCTGAGGTCACAGAACAAACTGCTGTGGAGTTTGTAGAGAGGCAGCTACAGAGAATTCAACTTAACAGAGCAGAAACGTACTCCTGTTGGAGCCAGTACCAGGGTAGGAAAGCTTGAATTGTCATTAATGCTGGAGGCTTAGTGTAGACAAGTCTAAGATGAAAAATAAAAATAAAAAATAAAAAAAACTCCAGGGGACCCAGTCTTAGTGAGGCTTTTGCATTTTTTTGAGTTTTATCTTTAGCTCTACGAAGTTCTCAAGATGAACATTAGAGAAAAATTTCTTTGGGCTTCTCGCAGGGGAAGGAAAAGTAACAATTTTAAAATACACCACAGCATTCCATTATTCTTAAGACCTTATCTTGAGAAAAACTATTTTGCCAGAGCCTAACCTACTGGGGTTTTAGCAGAGCCTAACTTATCTGGGGGAAAGGAGGTACCTAACTCCATCCTCCACTAACCATCCTATATCACATAAAGAGCAGAAAGAAAAAAATTGAGATGCATTTGTGAAATTCACACCACAGGAGCAGAGGCTCACTAAAAGAGTAAAATCTAAACATGGGGCTGCGGAAAGCTTCCGCTCCCTCTACCATGATGTTATAAAACTCTATTTTCCACATTTTCCTTTACCAGTGCATCACATCTGCTGTTTAACAACAACAATAAAAACCATTATAAGGCATACTTGAGAAACAGAGCAATGGGGTGGCATAAATATTGAATTTATCAGATTCAGTTATGACAGAAATGTTGACATTATCAGACCATGAATATAAACCATATTTGGTTAATATGCTAAGGGCTGTAATGAAAAAAAATACACAACATTAAAGAACAGATGAACAATGAAAGCAGAGAAATTGAAATTATAAGAATACATAGAAAATAAATGCTTACCATAAAAAACTGAAACAAAAATAAAGAATGGCTTTGAGAGGATCATTAGTAGACTGGACAAGCCTATGGAAAGAATCTCTGAGCTTAAGGATATGTCAATAGAAACGTCCCAAACCAAAAAACAAGGAGAAAAACACACCAGAAAAATGCAACAGAATATCCAAGAACTGTGGGACAACTACAAAAGCTGTAATATCTACATAATTAAAATAAAAGGAGAACAAAGAGAGAAAGAAATAAAACAAATAGAAGTAGTAAAATGACTTAGAACTTCCCTAAATGAATATCAAACACCAATCCACACATACAGGAAGCTCAGAGAACACCAAGTAGTATCAATATAAAAAACTACACCCAGGAATATCATATTTAAACTGCAGAAAATCAAAGATAAAGATCAAATGTTGAGTTAATCCAGTGAGAAAAAATACCTCTCCTATAAAGTAGAAAATATAAGAATTAATCCAACTTCTCAAAAAAAATATAAGCAAGAAGAGAGTAGAGTGAAATATTAAAAGTATTGGCAAAAGAAAATAAAGCAAGACATACACACACACAAACCACATCACCTTGAATTCTTTCGCCTGTAAAATTACAATGCAAAAGTGAGGGAAAACTAAAGACTTTCTCAGACTGGTGAAAATTGCAGGGTTTGTTGCTAATAGACCTACCTTGCAAGAAATGTTAGAAGTTTTTTAGAGAGAAAAAAAGTAATGTAGGCCAGAGACTTGGAACTGCATGAAGAAATAATATTAGAGAAGGAATAAATGAAAGTAAGATTGTAAGTTTTAGTTTTCTTATTCCTATCTAATAGATAATGGTTTGTTCAAAATAAAAATAACAATAATGTAATTGATGATTACAGCTTTTGTATAAGTGAAATGAATGGTAACAATGCTACGTGTGATTAGAGGGAGGAATTAGAAGTATGTTGTTATTATAAGGTACTTGCACTACTTCTGAAATTGCATTTCAAAGCAACCACTAAAAAAATAAAAATAAAAATAAGTATAGTTGATACAGTAAGAAGAGAGAAAATGGAATCATATAAAATGCTTAATTGAACCTACAAAAAGCAGAAAAAGAGGGGAAGACAAAATAGGAACAAAGAGCAAGGGCATCAAATAGAAAACAGTGACAAACATGATAGACATTAATGTGACTATATCAGTGAGTACTTTACATATCAATTGTCTAATAATACTAATTTAAAAGACAGCAATTGTCAGGGTGAATTAAAAAACAAGACTCAACTATGTGTTGTTTATAAGAAATCAACTTTAGGAATGAGTCCGCCGGATCGGTGACTGCGGAGGGCTAGGTGACCCCGGCCGCCGCCATGATGGGCAGCGAGTTTGGGAATCGGACGTAGATGCAACATGTGATCTCCTACAGCTTGTCACCTTTTGAGCAGCGTGCCTCCCCGTACTACTTCCGTAAAGGAATCCCCAACGTGCTGCGCCGCACTCGGCAGTCTTTCCTTCGCGTAATGCCGCCGTTTGTAGTGTTTTATCTTATCTATACATGGGGGACTCAAGAGTTTGAGAGATCCAAGGGGAAGAATCCAGCTGCCCATGAAAATGACAAATGAGCAACACATCCGGATGATGGTTCCCTGTCCCTGGAAGAGCTTTCTCTGGAAGAGGAGTCTGCATTGTAGTGTCTTAACGACACAATAAACTTCCTATGTTCTGCAAAATAAAAAGAGAAAGAAAAGAAAAAGAAAAAGAAAAAAGAAAAAAAGAAAATCAACTCTAAATATGAAGACACATATAGATTGAAAGTGAAGGGATGGTGAAAATATGCCATACTAACACAGATAAAAAATCAAGTATCTCTATCCACTATAATAATGTCACACAAAACACACTTCAGAGCTAGGATAATTATCAGGGATAAAAAGAGGCATTACAAAATGATAAAAGATTGACTCTCCAAGAAGATAGCAATTCTTAAGGTATATGCATCTCACAGAATGCCAAAATACATGAAGCAAAAGCTGATAGGACTGCAAGGAGAAATAAATGAATCAATTACTATAGTTGGAGACATCATCACTTCTCTATCAAAAATGGATAGATCCAGCAGGCAGAAAATTAGTAAGGACATACTTTAACTCAACACCACCATCAGTTAACAGGATATAATGAATATCTACAGAATAATTCATTCAACAATGCAGAATACACATTCTTCTCAAGCTTACATGAAATTGCCACCAAAATAGACCACATTTTTGGACATAAAAGACAACTTAACAAATTTAAAATAGTAAAAATCATGTAATGTCTACTCTCAGATTATGACTCAATCAAACTAGAAACCAGCAACAGAAAGATAGCTGGAAAAAACCTCTCAAAATACTTGATTAGAATACATACTCCTTAATGATACATGATTGAAGAAGAAATTTCAACAGAAATTTAAGATGTTTTGAATTAAATACAACTAACAAAATGTATGAGATTCAGTGAGCAGTGGTTAGAAGAAAACTGTAGCATGTACCAGAAAATAAATTTTAAAAAATAAATTATCTACATGTTCACCTTAGGAACCTACAAAATAAAATAACAAGTTAAATTCAAATAAAGCAAAAGAAAAAAATCAGAGCCAAAATCAATTAAAGCAAAAATAGAAAATCAATAAAGAAAATCTACAAAATAAAAATTGTTTTTTTTTTTTTTTGAAAAAAAATCTGTACAAGTGATAAGCCTCTAGACAGGCTAACTTTTAAAAAAGAGAGAAAACACAAATTATTAATAACAAAAGTGAAAATGGTGCCACTACTGCAGATCTGATAGACATTAAATAAGTAATAAAGGAATACTACAAACAACTTCATGCCCCACAATTTAATAACACAGATTAAACGGCCTAATTTCTGGAAATAAACAATCTGCTAAAACCTACCTAAGATGAAACAGACAATCTGAATAGGCCTATATCTATTAAAGAAATTAAGTCAACACTTAATAACATTCCAAAAAGAAATCACGAGATCTAGATAATTTCACTGGTGAATTCTACCAAACACTTAAGTGAGAAATTATAAAATATTTTCCAGAAGATAGAAGCAGAAGGAAAACTTCATAATTCATTCTATTGCTATGTAACCAACACCATCCTAACACCAAAACCAGACAAATATATTACCAAAAAAATCTAAAAACCAACATCTCTTGTAAACATAGATGGCAAAATCCTCATCAAAATATTAACAAATTAATCAAAAAAGTATCAAAATAATTATACATTATGACCACATGAGATTTATTTCAAGTATGCATGACTAGTTCAACATTCAAAATTCAATTTATATAATCCAACACATTAACAGGCTAAAGAAAAAAAACTACATGATCACATCAGTAGATGCAGAAATAACATTTGAGAAAATTTAACACCTATTCATGATAAAAACTCTCAGCAAACTAGGAATAGAGGGGAACTCCCACAACTGGATAAATAACATGTACAAATAATCTATAGCTAACACTATCCATAATGGTGAGAAACTTGAAGCTTACCTGTAATATCAATGTTTAGTCCATTTTCTGTTATTTTGAATAGAATACCTGAATTTGTGTAATTTATAAGAAAAGGAATTCCTTTCTTACAGTTCTGAAAGCTGAGAAGTACAATGTCAAGGGACTACATCAGGTGAAAGTCTTCTTGCTGGTGGGAACTTTCTACAGAATCTCCAGGTGGTACAGAGTATCACATGGTGAGAGGGCTTAGCATACTAATGTGCTAGCTCAGCTCTCTCTTCCTCTTCTTATAAAGTCACTAGTTCCCCTCCCATTACAAGCCACTAATCCAGTAATCTATCTATTAATTCATGAATGTATTAATTCATTCATAGGTGCAGAACCCTCATGATCCAATCTCCTATTAAGGGCCCCACTTCTCAACACTGCCATACTGTGGACCAAGTTTCAACATGAGTTTTGGAGGGGACATTCAAACCACAGCAATCTAGAACAATGAAAGGATAACCCCTCCCGCCATTCTTTATCACATCATACTACAAATCCTTCCTAATGCAATAAAGTACATAGAATGGAAAGGAAAATATAAAACTGTCTTTGTTCACAGATAATATGATCAACTATATGGAAAATCTGAAAGAATCCACAAACTCCTGGAAATATTAAGCAGTTACAGCAAGGTTATAGTGTGTCCGGAATTGGTGGGTTCTTGGTCTTGCTGACTTCAAGAATGAAGCTGCGGACCCTCGCAGTGAGTGTTACAGTTCTTAAAGATGGTGTGTCCCAAGTTTTTTCCTTCAAATGTTCAGATGTGTCCAGAGTTTCTTCCTTCTGGTGGGTTCGTGGTCTTGCTGACTTCAGAAGCGAAGCTGCAGACCTTCGTAGTGAGTGTTACAGCTCTTAAAAGTGGTGTGTCTGGAGTTGTTTGTACCTTCCAGTGGGTTTGTGGTCTTGCTGGCCTCAGGAGTGAAGCTGCAGACCTTTGTGGTGAGTGTTACGGCTCATAAAGGAGGCACGGACCCAAAGAGTGATAAGCAGCAAGACTTATTGCAACAGCAAAAGAACAAAGCTTCCACAGCATGAAAGCGGATCTGAGTGGGTTGCCACTGCTGGATCAGGAGGCCTGCTTTTACTCCCTTATCTGGCCCCACCCACATCCTGCTGATTGGTCCATTTTGACAGAGCGCTGATTGGTGCATTTACAAACCTTTAGCTAGACACTGAGCGCTGATTGGTGCATTTACAATCCTTTAGCTAGACACAAAAGTTCTCCAAGTCCCCTACCTGATTAGCAAGACACAGAGTGCTGATTGGTGCATTTACAAACCTTTAGCTAGACACAGAGTGCTGATTGGTGCATTTACAATCCTCTAGCTAGACATAAAAGTTCTCCAAGTCCCCACTAGATTAGCTAGACACAGAACACTGATTGGTGCATTTGCAAACCTTTAGCTAGACACAGAGTGCTGATTGGTGCATTTACAATCTTCTAACTAGACATAAAAGTTCTCCAAGTCCCCACCAGATTAGCTAGATACAGAGTGCTGACTGGTGCATCCACAAACCCTGAGCTAGACACAGAGTGCTGATTGGTGCATTTACAATCCTCCAGCTAGACATAAAAGTTCTCCAAGACCCTACCTGATTCAGGAGCCCAGCTGGCTTTGCCTAGTGGATCCTGCACCAGGGCAGCGGGTGGAGCTGCCCACCAGTCTCGCGCTGCGTGCCTGCACTCCTCACCCTTTGGGCGGTCGATGGGACCGGGTGCCACAGAGCAGGGGGTGGCGCCTGTCGGGGAGGCTCCGGCGGCGTGGGAGCCCACCAGTGGGGAGTGGGGCTCAGGCGTGGCAGGCTGCAGGTCCCAAGCCCTGCCCTGCAGGGAGGCAGCTGAGGCCTGGTGAGAATTCGAGCATGGCAAGGGTGGGCCAGCAGTGCTGGGGGACCTGGTGTACCCTCCACAGCTGCTGGCCTGGGTGCTAAGCCCCTCACTGCCCTGGGCCGGTGATGCCAGCTGGCTGTTCCTAGTGCGGGGCCGCAGAACCTGCGCCCACCTGGAACTCACCCTGGCCTGTGAGTGCCGCATGCAGCCCTGGTTCCTGCTGGCGTCTCTCCCTCCACCCCTCCCCGCAAGCAGAGGGAGCTGGCTCTGGCCTCAGCCAGCCCAGGGAGGGGCTCCCACAGTGCAGCAGTGGGCTAAAGGGCTCCCCAAGCGTGGCCAGAGTGGATGCCGAGGCCAAGGAGGCACCGAGAGCGAGCGAGGGTTGCTAGCACATTGTCACCTCTCAATAGGATGTAAAGTTAATATACAGAAGTCAACTGCTTTTCTACAGACACACACAATAAGTCGAATTCGAAACAAAAAACCATAAAATAAATAAATGATATAAACTTATCATTTTCATTTGCACCTCCAGAAATGAAATACTTAGATATAAATTTAACTATATATATATAATATGTATATTAGGAGAATTATACAATTCTGATGAACGTTACAAGGAAGAACCAAATAAATGGGGAGATATTCTAGGTCCATAGATAGGAAGACTCAATATTGTCAAGATGTCAGTTTTTCCTAAGTTGATCAATACATTCCTAATCAAAATTCCAGTAAGTCTTTTTGTGAATATTGACAACTTAATTAGAAAATTCATATGGAGAGGCCAAAGACCCCAGAATAGCTAACTCAATATAGAAATAGAAAAAAAATCAGAAGACTGACACTATCTGACTTCAAGGCTTTCTATAGAGCTACTGCATCAAAATAGTGTGATATTTCCAGAAGAATAGGTAAATAAATCAATTAAACAGAATAGTAAGCCCAGAAGTTGACTCAAATATAGTTAGTTGATCTTTGACAAAGAAGCAAAAGTAATGCAATGGAGAAAAGACAGTCTTTTCAACAAATGGCACTGGAATAATTGAACATTCAGGTTAAACAAAAAGGATTAATACACTGTTTACAAAAATTAACTAAAAATAAATTATAGACATAAATAGGAAATGCAAAACTATGAAATTCCTAGGAGATAATATTTTTAAATATCTGAATTCCTTTGGTTTTGCTGATGATATATAGAGATAATACCAAAGCCATGTTTTTTGAAATAAATAATTAATAAGCTGAACTTTATTAAAATTTAAAACTCTGCTCTTCAAAAGACATTGTGAAGAGAATGAGAATATATGCCAGACTGGAAAAAATATTTGAAAAAGACATATCTGATAAACAACTGTTACCCAAAATATATTTTAAAAACTCACTTAAAACTCAACAATAACAATAATACTTGATTAAAAATGGCCAGAAGATCTCAACAGGCACCTCATCAAGGAATATAAACAGATGGCAAATAAACATATGAAAACAAGCTCCACATCATGTCCTTAGGGTATTGAAAATTAAAGCAACAATGAAATACCACTAAACACTTATTTAAATGGTTGAAATTAAAGCACTGAAAAAAGCTGGTGATGATGTGGGGCAACAAGAATTCTCATTCATTGCTGGTGGGAATAAAAAATGTTACAGCATCCTTGGAAGCCAACTTGTCAGTTTCTTACAAAACTAAATATACTCTGGCCATACTATTCAGCCATGACACTCCGTGGAATTTATTCAAATGAGTCAAAAATTTATATTCACACAAAAATCTGCACATAGACATATATGTAGCTTTATTCCTAATTGTCAATATAGTAAGAATTTAATTCAGTAGGTGAATTGATAAATAAACTGTTGAAAATGAATACTTTAGAATATTATTAAGTACTGAAAAGAAATGACTTATCAAGCCATAAAAAGACATGGAGGAAACTTTAATGCACATTGCTAAATTAAGAAAGCCAATGGGAGAAGGCTACGTACTATATTAGTTCAAAATATGACATGCTAGAAAAGGCAAAACTATGGAGACATAAAAAAGATCAGTGTTTTCAAAGGGTAAGGGAACACCCATAAAATCCATAACATCAAGAATGAACCTAATGTCAAAACTATGAACTTTGGCTGTGTAGGTTCAGTAATTGTGACTAATTTACCACTCTAGTGCAGGATATTGATAGGGAGGAGGTTGTAAACATGTGAAGATACTAAGTATACGGTAATTCTCTATACTTTCCACTCAATTGGTCTGCAATCCTAAAAGTCCTCTACAGAATAAAATCTATTTAAATTTTGTATGTCAAAGTACATGTTTAGTGTTCATTTGGCGAGCAATTGGAAATCATTACTACCTTTTGCATATAAAAAATGAATTCCTTTAAATCTGTTGCAAGAAAGAAAATAACTCACCAACTGGTGAGTTAACTCACCTACCAATCTCATTAAGCCTTTCTTATCGTAACATTGTAACATTGTGGTATTATGATTCAAATACTTCTTTAATGAGAAGAAAAGATCAGTGTCTTAGTAGACACTTGATTTATCTGAATTTTTAGGCCCATTAATCTTGCTATATTTCTTGGCAGATTACGAACTACTCTATAGCCACTGTGTTACATTACTAGATTAATTGATGAGACTATTTTCAAAATAAGTGAGGCCATTGAGCATTAGAATAAAGACTCCAAAAATATTTTCCTTTGTTTAGTTTTATTTTTTAACAAAATTAAAGTCGGGGTTTTCCCTTGTCACCAGTTGTACATTCTTCACTTCAGTTCTTGCTAAAAGAAAGAGATCTAAGTAGTAACCTCATAATTCTCCAGCTGAATTGAATCTTAGCTTTCAATGGAAATAATTATTTAACATCAAATATTCAAACCAGCCTCTTTGTCATATCTCCAAATAAACATTCTATTGATTCATTTAATCCTTAAACAAATATTTTTAGTACCATGTCTAAGTACAGTACATTTCAAGTCCTTCAGAAATTCTGAAATAAATATGACATATAACCAAGGTGCTTAATATATCGTGAGCACTGACTAATCAAAACAGATACTCAACTATTAAAGAAAATTTTGGCTGGTATTCTGCATAGTTCTTTGCATTTGGAGTTCACAGTGTAATGGGAAAAGAGAGAGGAATAAATGACTATAAGTAAGAAAAAAAAGTAATGTCCAAATTATCGCATATGCAAAAATAAGCAAATAGCAGAGAAGGCAGTTAGAAAATTTTGAGAGAAAATTTAGGATTTGAGCTAAAAGTTGAAAATCAAAGACAGAACAAAGAAAAAAACTTATAAAATTGAAAAATAACCTCTCCAAAACCAAAATATAAATAAAATATAGACATAGTCATTAATAAAGTTATAGTATATATGTGTAACACAAATATTAAATGTTTGTGCTGTCTATATATCAAGGATAGAAATAAACTTAATATTTAGCTCAAAAATTACTGTTCATTTTGGTGTGTATAAACAAAACACTGAAGAAATGTACCAGCCCACTAGAAATATGCATAATTGAAATTGAAACTTGCTATAACTGAAGTAATAACTCTTTACCAATTAAGACTTACATTTTAAAACACTAGTTAAAACAGTATCTACAGATATTCATCTGTAGATTTAGGGAAATAAGATAATTTATACATTACACAGAGTATATTTCTATAATGAATATATTGCTCAGGATTGATTAGCTTATGCTGCCATATTTAACACAATTAAGTTTTCTTTTTCACTTACCCAAAATCTGCTCATACCTAGGTGAATCATTAGGACAGTTCAATGATTGATGTGATATCTATCTCTAAGTCCCATCATTTTCTTTTTTTTTTTTTTTTCAGGCTTAACTCACTTTATTTTTCTTGTATAAAAACCCTGTGTTGTAGCCACAGCTGGAGCCTGAGTCCGCTGCACGGAGACTCTGGTGTGGGTCTTGACGAGGTGGTCAGTGAATTCCTGATAGGGAGACTTGGTAAATATAGTCTCCTTCCAGAGGTCGGGGGTCAGGTAGCTGTAGGTCTTAGAGATGGCATCAAGGTGGCCTTGGCGAAGTTGCCCAGGGTGGCAGTGCAGCCCCGGGCTGAGGTGTAGCAGTCATCAGTACCAGCCATCATGAGCAGCTTCTTGGGCACAGATGCGGAGACGATGCCAGTGCCCCTGGGTTAAGGGATGAGGCGCGCCAGCACAGAGCCACAGAGGCCTGTCACCTTGCAAGGGACGGTGTGGGGCTTGCCAGTCTTGTTCCCCCAGTAGCCTCTGTGCACGGGGACAATGGAGAGCTTGGGCAGGATGATAGCCCCACGGATGGCGGTGGCCACCTCCTTGGAGCACTTAACACCCAGGCCTACGTGGCCATTGTAGTCCCCAATAGCAACAAACGCCTTGAACCTGTGCGCTGGCCAGCATGGGTCTGCTTCTGCACCGGCATTATCTTCAAAACCTCGTCCTCGAGAGAGGCCCCCAGGAAAAAGTCAATGATTTCAGATTCCTTAATGGGGCAGGGAGAAGAAAGAGATCTCCTCCAGGGACTTGATCTTCATGTCCTTGACCAAGCGGCCCAGATTGGTGACGGGCATCCACTCCCTATCCTCGCCTTGCCTCTGCGAGCTCCTCAGCCTCGGCCCGGCCCTGTCCACGGCCACGACCACGGTCCCAGATGCCACTACCGAAACCTCCGCGGAAGCCACCGCGGTTGCCCATCCCAGGGCCACCAGAGCCTACGCGCCCCCGCCCCCCGCACCGGCGTCATCCGCCACATCATTTTCAACAAGTGGGCTACAGAATATGGTGACAGAGAATTGTCCTGGAGAGCCCAATTTTATTCCCTTGATTCTGAAGATACACACTCAAGTTGTACTCACAATTCATTGGCCAGAACGCATATCTTGATTGCCCAATGACTTCCAGAACGCTAAGAAGTATGCCCAGCAAGGAGAGGGGAACTAGATACTGGTTTTCACATGTAATGTCTCCTAAAAAAACACTTTCATTACATCTACTTTGACAAGTAAACATGGAGAGTAAACATGGAGAGTAAACATACCTGTAATCAAATATAAGGAAGATTGAAGGGTTCATGACTTTACTGTTTGTTTTTTTTTTAAAGAAGATAGGATGTGTTCAAATTGTTTGTGTAGTCTATGATTTCTTTCAGCAGCGTTTTATAGTTTTCTTCGTGGAGATCTTTCACCTCCTTGGTTAGGTATATACCAAATAATTTTGTTTCATTTTTTGCAACTGTTGTAAAAGGGGTTGGGTTTTTGATGTGATTTTCATCTTGGTTGTTGTTGGCTGTTGGTTAATATCAATAGCAGTGCTGTTGATTTGTGTACACTGTTTTGTATCCTGTAACTATACTGAATTCATTTATCAGATCTAGGAGCATTTTGGAGGAGTCTTTGGGGTTTTTTAGGGATATCATCATATCATTGGTGACTAGCAACAGTTTGACTTCCTCTTTACTGATCTGGATGCCCTTTATTTCTTTCTTCTGTCTGATTGCTCTGGCTAGCACTTCTGGTACTACGTTAAATAGAAGTGGTGAAAGTGGGCATCCTTGTCTTGTTCCAGTTTTCAGGGGGAATGCTTTCAATTCTTCCCTGTTCAGTATAATGTTAGCTGTAGGTTTGCCATAGATGGCTTTTATTACCTTGATGTATGTCTCTTGTATGCTGATTTTGTTGAGGGTTTTAGTCATCAAGAGATGCTGGATTTTGTCAAATGCTTTTTCTATATCATTGGGATGATCATATGATTTTTGTTTTTAATTCTGTTTGTGTGATATACTACATTTATTGACTTGCAGATGTTAAACCATCCCTGAGTTCCTGGTATGAAACCCACTTGATCATGGTGAATTTTCTTTTTGAATTCAGTTAGCTAGTTTTTTTTAAGTATTTTTGAGTCGACGTTCATCTATGATATTGTCCTGTAGCTTTCTTTTAATGTTATGTCCTTTCTTGATTTTGGTATTAGGGTGATACTGGCTTCGTAGAATGATTTAAGGAGGACTTCCTCTTTCTCTATCTTTTGAAATAATTTCAGTAAGACTGGTGGTCAATTCTTCTTTGAATGCCTGATAGAATTCAGCTATGAACTGATCTGGTCCTAGACTTTTTTTATTGGCAATTTTTCTATTACTGTTTCAATCTTGCTACTTGTTATTGATCTGTGCAGAGTTTCTTTTTCTTCCTGATTTAATCTAGGTGGATTGTATATTTCCAGGAATTTATCCATCTCCTCTAGATTTTCTAGTTCATATGCATAAAATTGTTCATAGTAGCCTTGAGAAATCTTTTGTATTTCTGTGGTATCAGTTGTAAATCTCTTATTTCATTTCTAATTGAGCTTATTTGGATCTTCTCACTTCTTTTTTTGGGTAATCTGACTAATAGTCTATCAATCTTTTTTTTCAGAGAACAGGCTTTTTGTTTTATCTTTTGTATTTTTTTTGTTCCGATTTCATTTACTTCAGTTCTCATCTTTATTCTTTCTTTTATTCTGCTAGGCATGAGTTTGGTTTGTTATTGCTTCTCTAGTTCCTTGAGGTGTGACCTTAGATTGTCTATTTCTGCCCTTTTGGACTTTTTGATGTAGGCGTTGAATGCTATGAACTTTCCTCTTAGCGCCACTTTTGCTGTGTCTCATAGGCTTTGATATGCTTTGTCACTAATGTTGTTCAGTTTAAAGAATTTTTAAATTCATGATCATGAATGAGTAGAATCAATATTGTGAAAATGACCATACTTCCAAAAGCAATCTATAAATTCCGTGCAACTCTCATCAAAATACCATCATCATTTTTCACAGAACAAGAAAAAAAAATCCTAAAATTCATATGGAACAAAAAAGGAGGCTGCATAACCAAAGGAAGACTAAACAAAAAGAACAAATCTGGAGGCACCAGTTTACCCAATTTTGAACTATACTATAAAGCCATAGTCAGCAAAACAGCATGGGAACTGGTATAAAAATGGGCACATAGACTAATGGGACAGAATACAGAAGCCAGAAGTAAAGCCAAATACTTACAGCCAACTGACCTTTGACAAGGCAAACAAAAACATAAAGTGGGGAAAAGATACCACATTCAACAAATGATGCTGGGATAATTGGCAAGCCACACCTAGAAGAATAAAGCTGGAGCCTCATCTCTCAACTTATACAAAAATCAACTCGAGATGAATCAAAGACTAAAATCTAAGACCCGAAATTATAAATATTCTAGGAGATAACATTGGAAAAACTCTTATAGACATTAGCTTAGGCAAAGAGCTCATAACCAAGAACCTGAAAGCAAATGTAACAAAAACAAAGATAAATAGATGGGACCAAATTAAATAAAAAAGCATCTCCATAGCAAAAGAAATAATCATCAGAGTAAACAGACAACCCACAGAATGGGAGAAAATCTTCACAAACTATGCATCCAACAAAAGACTAATATCTAGAATCTACAAGGAACTCAAACAAATAAGCAAAACAATAGTAATAATAATGATAATTCCATCAAAAAGTGGACAAAGGAAATTAATAGACACTTCTCAAAAGAAGATATACAAATGGCCAACAAACATATGAAATAATCCTCAACATCACTAATGATCAGGGAAATGCAAATCAAAACCACAATGTGATACCACCTTACTCTTTCAAGAATGGCCACATTTAAAAAATTAAAAAATAACAGATGTTGGTGTAGATGTGGTTAAAAAAGGAACACTTTTACACTGTTGGTGGGAATGTAAACTAGTACAACCATTATGGAAAACAGTATGAAGATCCATTAAAGAATTAAGAGCAGAACTACTGTTTGATCAAAAAAATCCCACTACTGGATATCTACCCAAAGAAAAATAAGTCATTATACAAAGAAGATACTTGCAAATGCTTGTTTATAGCGGCACAATTCACAATTGCAAAAACATGGAACCAGCATAAATGCCAATCAGCCAATGAGTAAAGAAAATGTGGTGTGTATATATGTATATATCTATATTCTATATATACTATATATAGATATATATATCTACTATACTATATATAGACATACTATATATAGATATATATCTATATATACTATATATAGATATATAGATATATATCTATATATAGATATATAGATATATATCTATATATAGTATATAGATATATATACTATATATAGATATATAGATATATATACTATATATAGATATATAGATATATACTATATATAGATATATATAGAATACATATCTATATATAGATATACTATATATGGATATACAATATATAGATATATATAAAATATATATCTATATATAGATATATATAAAATATATATCTATATATAGATATACTATATATGGATATACTATATATAGATATATATAGAAATATATCTCAGATATATATATCTATATATAGGATATATCTATATATAGATATATATATATCTCAGATATATATATATCTATATATAGATATATCCTATATATAGATATATATATATCTCAGAATACTACTCAGCCATTAAAAGGAATAAAATAATGACATTCACAGCAGCTTGGATGGAGCTGCAGACCATTATTCTAAGTGAAGTAACCCAGGAATGGAAAACCAAACATTGTGTGTTCTTACTTATAAGTGGGAACTAAGCTATGAGGATACAAAGGCATAAGAATGATATAGTGAACTTTGGGGACTCGGGGGGAAATGGTGGGGTTGTGAGGGCTAAAAGACTACAAATTGGATACAGTGTACACTGCTAGGGCGATAGGTGCGCCAGAATCTCAGAAATCACCACTAAAGAACTTTTCCATGCAACCATGTACCACATGCTTTCTGAAATCTATCGAAATAAGAATAAAAATAGGCAGGGGCCAGTGCCTCAAATCTGTAGTCCTAGCCCTTTGGGAGCCTGAGATGGGCCAATCGCTGGAGGGCAGGAGTTTGAGATGAGCCTGCGCAATATGGCGAAACCCAGCCTCTACGAAAAATATAAAGAAAAAAATATATTAGTCAGGCATGGTGGTGCATGCCTGTAGTCTCAGCTATTCACGAGGCTGAAATGGAAGGATTGCTTGAGCCTGGGAGGTGGAGGTTGCAGTGAGCCAAGGTCATGCCACTGCACTCCAGTCTAGGTGACAGAGAGAGAAACTGTCTCAGAAATAAGTAGGTCAATAAATAAATAAAATAATGTGAAAATAAAATAAGCAAATAAAAACATAAAAAACTTACTGAATAGAATAAATTAATGAGTAAAAGAACAAAGAACATTTAATTAAAAACAAATAAAAAATAAAATAAAATAAAATTTTGCTCTTAAGACAGGAATTGGGCAGGATAGCCAAGGTAAGAGAAAAACTCAAAAAAGACCATTGGAGTGCTATTTAGTACAGTGTGTGCAGGTGCTAAGGGCCTGAATAAGGATGAAATTACAGGAATTTAAAAAATATATAAGGGAACTTAGGAAGGAAGCAAGCTTCAGTTTTCATAAATGATTGAAATTTGAGTATGAGAAGAAAAGAAGTCACAAACATGACTATGATTTTCAAAAAGAAGTAAAAAGACTCCTCAAGCTCTCTGTTTAGTACTTCTCTTCACAATGTAAAAGGAAAAAATTCATACTGGAAAAAATTCATACTGAAAAAAAGAAAAAATATTACAACAAACCACTCACACAAATGTGTATAGTCACCTAAAATTATCTCTACCAGATTATGAAAACACCAGTTACATAGTAGCGGAATTCCTCAGTTGTTTCCCTGGCCATGGAAGAATACAAGCCCTTTAGGTGCCAGTTTAAGTTTCAGGGTTAAACACTTGAGGTTTCCTATCTTTGGCATAAAAATGGAGTCATACAGAGGATATATTGAACTGCTATTGAGTAGTTCTGTGTTTATTTTTCTGGCTCTGCCACTAAGGCTTTTTATGATTCTGGAAAATACAGCTTTTCTGGATCATGTTTTTCCTTTAAAGACCTTTCAATAAAAGATGACCAAAGTCTTTAGCTGAAACATTCTAACTTTACCAGGAATGATACATGTTACATTGCCTTATTTAATTTCTACTTAGGAAAACATACCAAATTAAAATAGTGATTAAAGGAGAACTTGAAAAATTCTAAAAATTATTTTTTCAAGATTCATAGGACTTTTGGTTTATGACATTTTTACAGTGAAAGCACTTTATAAGGTAGCCCTTGTTATACTAGGAAGTTAAATCAAGATAGAGTTGGAACCTAGATGGAACTAGTTTTTTCAAAATAGAGTTATTTGGTTAACAAGAAATGTAATAATATCCGTATTTCAATTGTTATTCCAGGGTATTTGTAAACATGGGAATCTTTCTGATCTTTCCCAATAATTATTGGGAATCTTCAGAAAGCATTTCTTTCAAATAATTGGTATGCTACCTTATTGTGGATTTTATGGTAAAGTTCTTAACATTTTACAATTTTCCTAAGAAATGTCTCTTTTTGCAAGTGCTATGTAATATGTCGTTTTTAATGCATCAGCTATGAATACACTTATTTTCAATACAGCATTTGAGGATCAGGTAGTTTATTTATTATACCATTTTTTTTCTTTTTTTTCCAGAGTAAGGGCAGAAAATAAAAGGCCTGCTAATAGTTAAAATATAATCTTTCTTTATGTTAGGGGGAGAAACAAGCCTGTGAACCTAAAATGGCAGCTAAGAAAGGATAGTATTTATAGAAGCTAGAATATGAAAGGAAATGCCAGGAGATGTCAAAATTGATTGAAACGCTCAAGCCTGACAGCTCTGAAATTTGCAGGTTGAATACCTGCCACAATTTGTGAATGATCCTCTATATTCTTAAACTGCTTGGTTTAGCTAGCATTGTATAGAAATGGATGAGAGAAGCCAAGAAACTATAAGCTATATCCTAGTGCCATTTCATTCCTAAAACTTGCCCTAATACATGTTACTCTGCAATTTAAAACCTGGCTAGAAAAGTATATATGGATGTTAATTAGAAATTTATCCTCTAGTGACTTTTTTGTATATCATACATGAATAATTTCAAAATGTAAATACTTTCAAATAACATCTTTCCTACTGAGGTGCTTACTTATTATTTAAGTGATTTGTACATGAATGTATGCTCTTTAATTAAATATATTTATTTACCCGCTATTTTATATTTACTTACGTACAGTTGTGTGTGTCTTATGTGTGTATGTAACAGGTAAATATTCACTTGACTTATGGTACTGAAGAATCTGTGCAGCTTTATTAAATAAGATTGGCTGAATTGCAGAATGCTCTAAACAACTAGGCAAGAAGATAATAAATAAGCATTGACCAAAGAAAATGCATAGAAGACAGTCAGGATCTCTTGGGTAATAAAGGGTAACACAGTCTATTTAAAGTTTACCATCTATTTAAAGCTTACTGGCGGGGATGTTTGCAAGTGTTGAAACAAAACCGGAATGGAAATAAAATGATTTGATTTTAGCTAAATCAAAACAAGGTAAATGGTAAAGCAGGGAGATATTTACTTTAGTCTTTGTAGAGCTTCTTTTTAGTCTAGCAAAATCCAAGTCCCCACTCTCTCTACCCTACATTATATTCTTTAAACACATATACATACCCACCCACACATATACATAATATTTCAAATATAGAAAGAAATAACTGTAGCTATTATAGTTAAAATACTGTTCTACAATACACAACTCTACCAATATAAAAATTATTTGACTCTAACTGGTATTTACTCATAAAATAATGCCAAAAGTTGCATATTAGTAGAGACTGAGCATCTTAGCTGTGTTTTTTCTTTATTCTTCTATTAGAAGCAGTGATGTCTTTGTAGACGTTACATATTTTGTTAAAAAATTTGACAAACTACAAGTCCTCAATCTTTCTAAAGAACAATAATGCTAAAGAAAACATACAAAAGATTTAGCATTTCACTATTGAGGATAATGAATAATAATTTTCTTCTTTTTTAATAGAGTTTTTCAGAATTGAGAGAAACTGGAATATTGGCTTCAAAAAAACAGTTCCATAAAAATATAGTTATCCTTATATAACATCAGAAGATAGAAAAATTATATTCAAATACATACATTTATTTTTAAAATAAATATTATTAAGAGGGCTGATGTCAATAAATATGAACATCCTTAACAAATTTGAGAAATAGGTTCTGAAAATTTCACTACCAACAACAAAAAATGTAGAAAGCCCTGATCTAATTACTATGCAGGAATATAATTAATTTGTTGTAATTAAATAGGAAAAAGAAAAACAAGTGAGAAGTTGACAAAGAGAAATACTTTAAATGTTTTTACCTTCCTTTAGGGATAGTGTACCTTTCCTATTTAGATGGACTCTATCATCATCAGAGCTTTGGTATATGTTTACTACTCTATCTTCATTTAAACCTGGTACTGTTGCCCCAGTCACTCCCAACCCATCCACCTCCATTTGAGTAGCCTGCCTTTCCTGTGGTTTTGTCATTTTATTCTATCCTTCACTGAATTTTAATGTTACCATTCCCCTATCTAGTTGAAATGATTATGACTTTAGAGCCAATGGCTGCAACTTTAGTACAATGCACTAAACTTTAATCAAATGGTGACTTTAGAGCCAATTATATGGTGAATATTAAACTCTCAAACGTCATTGGAATAAATGAATAAAGGTAATATAGCAGTGTGATAACTTCAGATTGTGTAGTATTTATTGCAAATAACTTATGAGCAAAATAAACTATATTCAAATTGTATTTAAATATTTTAGAGTAGTCTAAAAGATAGCTTAATTGCTGATATAATCTGTCCGATAAATAGAAAAATAAAATTAGATAAACTTAGCTAAATCTAACTATGTAGAAATATCTTTGTGATAATAGGTGATGTGGTTTGGCTCTGTATCCCCACCCAAATCTCATCTTGAATTGTAATCCCCGTTGGTTGAGGGAGGGACCTGTAATTCCCATGTGTCAAGGGAGGGAAGTGATTGGATTATGACACTGTTCTTGTGATAGTGAGTGAATTCTCATGATACCTGATGGTTTTATAAATAATAGTTTTTCCTGCAATGACACACATGCACTCTCTCTTGCCTGCTGCCATGTAAGACATGCCTGCTTCCCCTTTCACCAGGATTATAAGTTTCCCGAGGCCTCCCAAGCCATGTGGAGCTGTGACTCAATTAAACCTCTTTCCTTTATAATGACTAGCCTTGGGTATTTCTTTATAGCAGTGTAAGAACGGATTAATACAGTAAATTGGTATCACAGAGAGTAGGGCACTGCTATCAAGATACCCAACAATGTGGAAGTGACTTTGGAGCTGGGAAATAGGCAGAAGTTGGAACAGTTTGGAGGGCTCAAAAGAAGAAAGGAAGATGTGGGGAAGTTTGGAACTTCCTAGAGGCTTGTTGAATGATTTTGATCAAAATGCTGATAATGATGTGGACAATGAAGTCTAGGCTGAGGTGGTCTCAGATGGAGATGAGGAACTTATTGGGAACTGGAGTAAACATCATTCTTGCTATGCTTTAGCAAAGAGACTGGCGGCATTTTACTCCTGCCCTAGAGATATGTGGAACTTTGAGCCTGAGAGCTGATTTAGGGTATCTGAGAAGAAATTTCCAAGCAGCAAAGTGTTCTAGAAGTGACAGAGGGTAAAAGTTTGAAAAACTTGGAGCCTGACAAATGCAATAGAAAAACAAAACCCATTCTCTGGGAAGAAATTCAAGCCAGCTGCAGAAATTTGCATAAGTAACAAGGAGCCAAATGCTAATTGCCAAGATAATAGGGAAAATGTCTCCAGGGCACGTCAGAGACCTTGGTTGCAATCCCTCCCATCACAGGCCTGGAGGCCTGGGAGGGAAAATGATTTCATAGGCAAGCCCCAGGGCTCGACTGTTGTGTGCAGCCTTCTGAACATGGGGCCCTGTTTCCCGGGTTATTCAGCTCCAGTCTTGGCTAAAAGGGGCCAAGGTACAGCTTGCACTGTGGCTGCACTGAGGGTGCAGGACACACCTTGGTGGCTTTCATGTGATGTTGGGCCTGTGGATACACAGAAGTCAAGAATTAAGGTTTGGGAACCTCCACCTAGATTTCAGAGGATGTATAGAAATGCCTGAATCTCTAGGCAGAAGTTTGCTGCAGGGGCAGAGCCCTCATAGAGAACTTCTGCTAGGCAATGTGAAAGGAAAATGTGAGGTTGGAACCCCCACTCATAGTCCCCATTGGGGCACTGTTTAGTGGAGCTATGAGATGAGGGCCACCATCCTCCAGACCCCAGAATGGTAGATTCACAGACAGCTTGCTCTGTACACCTGAAAAAGCCACAGACACTCAACACCAGCCTGTGAAAGCAGCCCGGAGGGGGACTGTGTCCTGCAAAGCCACAGGTGTGGAGTTGCCCAAGGCTATGGGAGCCCACCTCTTGCATCAGCATGACCTGGATGTGAGACATAAAGTTAAAGGAGATCATTTTGGAGCTTTAAGATTTAATAACTACCCTATTGGATTTCAGACTTGCATGGGGCCTGTAGCCTCTTTGTTTTGGCCAATTTCTCTCATTTGGAATGGAAACATGTACCCAATGCCTGTAACTCAACTGTATCTTGGAAGTAACTAACTTGCCTTTGGTTTTACAGGCTCATAGACGGAAGGAACTTGACTTGTCTTAGAAGAGACTTTGGACTTTGACTTTTAAGCTAATGCTGAAATGAGTTAAGACTTTGTGTGATTGTTGGGAAAGCATGATTGGTTTTGAAGTGTATAAAGGACATAAGATTTGTGGGGGTGGGGGCAGGGGAAGAATGATATGGTTTGGCCCTTTGTCTCCAATCAAACCTCATTTCTAATTGTAATCCCCACAAGTCGAGGGAGGAAACTATAATCCTGTTTCCAGGGAAAGAAGTGTTTGAATTATGGGGGTGGTTTCCCCTATGCTATTCTCATGATAGTGAATGTATTCTCATGTGATCTAACGGTTTTATAAATGCACTCTTTTTTTTTCTTTTTTTAAATTATTATACTTTAAGTTCTAGGGTACATGTGCACAATGATAAATGAACTCTTTCTTACCTGCGGCCACATAATATGTGCCTGTTTCCCTTTCCACCATGATTGTAAGTTTCCTGAGTCCTCCCCAGCCATGTGGAACTGTGAGTCAATTTAACCTCTTTCCTTTATAGACTACCCAGTCTTGGGTATTCTATATAGCAGTGTGAGAATGGACTAATATAACAAGAATATTAGCTTTATGTTTTATGTAAGAGTTTAGTATTTTTTAATCAATTTGAGTTAAATACTGAAGAATAATGACATAGTAGAAAGAGCAGGTTATTTTTAAATAGTTAATCTGAACTTGAATCTCAGGTTTGTTATTTATTGCTGTCTGATCATGGGGAAGTTACAAGCACTCTAAGCCTCGATTACCTCTGCGTGCAAATAGGCATGTAATTAGTATTGTAAATGAGAAAATACCCTAACTCAGTGATCATCTTTGGAAGTTACTTGGTAATATTTGGTCTTGCATTAAGTTGCCAGCTCTACTTTTTCCCATAAGATAACTAGTGTATTTAACATTTAAGATCCTAAAATCAAATGTGATATGAAATCAAAATCCAATAGAGAACTAAAGAAAGAAAAGAGATTTAATATCACCTCTGCCTCTTGATGGGTGTGCACTACTGAGGAAAATACTTTAAAATCCAAGCCTCATATTTCTGAAAACTAAGGACAAAACTATGCAAACTACCTACCTCATATGGATGCTGTGGAGATCAAGTTAGAAAACACGTGAATAATTGAAAATTATTTTTGTATTAAGTATAAATGAGACTAAAACTGAAAGTATGACTCAATATCATTCTAAATAAAAGTGAAAGAAAAGAGGGAGAGTAAATCTTCACTGGATGATCTTTTGGTTAAAATTTGTTATACTACTTATCTTATCAAACTAGTTTTTATTTGAAAGAAAAAAACACGCACTTTTTAAACCATGCAAATAGAATCACATAAAGTAGTCAATCAGACAATAACATGTTGAATATACACATTATTTTGGAATTAGGGACAGTGGAGACATCTGAGGCATAACACTTGGTAAGATTTCTACCTTATCCAAAGAGAAATCTTCAAGCATGCCAATGTAAAGGCAAAGACTTAAGGTAACAGGTAGAACAATGAGTTGGAGCGAGGTCCAGAAACTGGGAACCTCCATAAAGCTGCTAGTCCCAGTCTCACAAAGTGAGTCGACTTTAAGTCCATGGCAGAAAGGATCAAGGTTTGTGTCAAATGCAGGTAGTGTTTTCAAATTCAGTGACCGTGGAGAGTTAGGTGTGCGGACAGGGATACAATAGGGAGAACATAGCAAGAGTGATGATTGATAACTCAAGAGGCAGGCATGAATTGGCAAACTATGTTTTACAAAGGAAGTCCCTTTGTTAATAGGAGACAAATAGGAAAAACATACTCTAGCTTTTAGGATGAAGGGTTAGCAGTAGACATACCTAGGAGTGAACTGTAGAGGAGTTATGTGTATCTATTGCTAGATTTTCACAGAGAATGCATGCTAAATTTCACAGACAGAAGAGTTTCTCTATAAAAGCAATGTCATCAGTAAATATATAAAAAGCGCATGTGCCACATTTTATTAAAAACTATTAAATTACAAAATGATCAGGATACTCTCTTATTGTAATCATTTTTATCATGTTTATTATGCATGATATTAAAAGCGCATTGCATATTATGCATATTATGGCAATTCTAACAAGTTTATGTAGAGGTTGCTCTCCTTTCCATTATCTTCTTTTGTTTTGGTTTTCTTATCCTTTTTCATGGTGAAATTGTATTACAGCATATGATTCAGAAGATAGCTACTTTATTACATATATATGAAAGGAAATGAACCATATACTTGAGATGAAGTTTGTCATGGAGATAGAAAATCTCTTAATCTCTAAATATATAACATATCTCATTTATTTAATTCTTTCACCCATTACTAAGTTATTACTTATTCACTTATTTTATTAAAGACATTGAAACTTTAAAATTTAAGAAATTTAAGACCAGTATAATCTCTGCTTTTTAGTAATTATAGAAGAAATGAGAAAAGATTTGATTATTTTCTCTAAACAAATTAATTTTGAGACATCATTCTTTTATTTCTCCTGAATAAACTTCCAGCTTCTTAAATAATTTTTATCATAAAGTTTTTATACAACTTTTAAATATAGATATTTTCATAAAATGTTACACAAAGTAGCTACACTTATTTATATCCCCACCAGAACAACTACAAATATCTCTGGAGAATTATGTTTCGTGAAGATGAGTTTTAAAATATTAATGACTTTGAAAATAAAGTAGGTAGAGGGAGGTGGAGCAAGATTGCCAAATTGAACCCCCACCCTCACGTGAGCACCAAATTAAACAATTATCCACCTCCATAAGATCCAAAAATCAAGTGAGTGATCACAGTACCTGGCTTTAACATTATGTAAAGGAAAGAGTCACTGAAGAGGGTAGGAAAGGCAGTCTTGAATTGCAAACACCTCCCCTCCCTCATGCCATGTCTGCAGCCTCATGGTGCAGAGAGAGAATCTGTGTGCTTGGGGAAGGGAATAAAGAGTGATTATGGGACCTTGTATTGAAACTCAGTGCTGCTGGCCACTGCAGAATGCAACAAAGGGCAGAATTCAGCCATCATCCACTGAGGGGCCATTTAGACCGGCCCTAACCACAGAGGAATCATTCATCCCAGGTGTCAGAATTTGAGTTCTGGCTAGCCCCAACACCATAAGCAAAAGTGTTTTAGGCTTCTAAATATACTTGAAAGGCAGTCCGGGCCATAAGGACTGCAACCTGGACAAGTTCTGGTGCTGTACTAGGCTTCAAGCTCGTGGACTTGGGGTGCAGATAACCTAGTGAGAAAGCAGCTGGGGTGGCCAAGGGGAGTGCTTGCATCACCCCTCTCCAAAAATCAAGGCAGCATATCTCACAGCTGTGAGACCCCTTCCTTCTGCTTGAGGAGAGTAGAGAGGAAAATAAATAGAACTGTGTCTTGCAACTTGAATACCAGCTCAGGTATAGTAAAATGCAGAATCTGGAAGAGTCCTGAGGTCCCTGCTCTAGGCCCTAGCTCTTGAACAAAATCTGTAGACGCACCCTGGACCAGAAGGGAACCTGGTGTCTTGAAGGGAAGAAATAAATTCTGACAGGATTCATCACCTGCTGACAAAAGACCCCTTGGGGCTTGAATAAGTAACAGTGGTAGCCAGGCAGTACTTGCTGTGGGAGTTGGGTGAGAACCAGTTCCGTACTGGCTTCAAGTGAGACATAGCACATTCTTAGTCATGGTGGCCATGAGAAGAGACTCCTGGCTGAGGAAGGAGAAGGAAGAATAAAGGCGACTTTGTCTTGCAGCTTGGGTACCAACCAGCTCAGCTACAGTGAAGTAGAGCACCAAGTGGGCTACTGGGGATCCTGATTCCAGACTGTGGCTCCTGTCTGGCATTTATGGACTCACCCTGGGCCAAAGGGAAGCCCGTAGCCCTGAAGGGAGAGACTCAAGTTTGGTAGCATTTACCATATGCTATCTGTGGAGACCTTGTGCCTTGGGTGGATATTGGTGTTAGCCAGGCAGTACTTGCCATGGTCCTGGGGTGGTAGTGGCCATAGGGAAATACTCCTTCTCCTTGATGAAAGGAGAAAGAAGAGTCTGCTTGATGAAAGGTGAAAGAAGAGTGGGAAGAAAGTTGTCTTGTGGCTCAGGTGCTAGCTCAGTCATAGAATAGAGCATCAAGTAGACTCCTGAGATTCGTGACTTGAGGCCCTGGCTCTCAGAAACCATTTCTGGACATGCTTTAGGCTTGGGGAAAGCTTGCCTCCCTGAAAAGAAAGACACAAGCCTGGCTGGATTTGTTACCAACTGACTGAAGAGACTTTGGGCCTTGAGTGATCACTGAAGGTAGCCAGGCAGTAGATGTTGTGGCCCTTGTGCAAGACCCACTGCTGTGCTGGCTTTAGGTCTGACTCTGCGCAATCTCAGTAGTGGTGTCCACAGAGGTACTTGTGTCACCACTTCCCCAGCTCTAGACAGTTCAAAATGGAGAGAGAGAGAGAGACTCCATTTGTTTGGGGGAAAGTAAGAATAAGAACAAGAGTCTCTGCCTGGTAATACAGGAAATGCTCTTGGTTCTTACCCAAGATTACTAAGGCAATACTTTATGAGTCTGCAAGAGCCATAATATTACTGGGATTGGGGTACCCTCTCTAATGCAGATATAGCTGCAGTGACCAAAAACATAGGTCACAATACCCAAATTCCTTTAAATACCAGAAAAAAACCTCCCACAAAAGGATGGATACAAATAAGCCCAACTGTGAAGACTGCAATAAATATCTTACTCTTCAATGCCAACATTGATGAACATCCATAAGAATCAAGACCATTCAAGAAAACATGACTTCACAAAATGAACTAAATAAGGCGCCAGTGACCAGTCCTGGAATGACATAGATATGTGACCTTTCAGATACAGAATTCAAGATAGCTGTTTTGAGGAAGCTCAACAAAATTCAAGATAGAACAGAGAAGAAATACAGAATACAATCAGAAAAACTTGATAAAAGAGATTGAAATATTTTTTAGAAATCACACAGAAATTCTGGAGCAAAAAAATTAAATGGACTTATTGAAGAATGCATCAAAGTCTGTAAACAGAAGAATTTATCAAGCAGAAGAAAGAAATAGTGAGCCTGAAAACAGATTACTTGAAAATGTACAGTCATAGGAAGCAAAAGAAAAAAGAATAAAAATGGATGAAGTATGCTTACAAGATCTAGAAAATAGTTTCAAAGGGCAAATCTAAGAGTTAGTGGCCTTAAAAAGGAGGTTGAGAGAGATCAGGGTAGGAAGTGTATTCAAATGCATAACAACAGAGAACTTTCCAAACCTAGAGAAAGATATCAATATTCAAGTACAAGAAGGTTATAGAACACCAGGCAGAGTTAACGCAAATAGGAAAAGCTGAAGACATTTAATAATGAAACTCCCAGAGGTCAAGGATAAGGAAAGGATCCTAAAAGCAGTAAGAGGAAAAAGAAACAAATAACATGCAATGGAGATCTAATATGTCTGGCAGTACATGTCTCAGTGGAAACCTTACACATCAGAAGAGAATGGCATGACATACTTAAAGTGCTGAAGGAAAAAAAAATCAGAAAACACCCTCAACACCAGTCCTATTCTACAAGAAAAGGTAAAGGGGTTTCTTCAATCTGAAAGAAAAAGATGTCAATGAGCATGAAGAATCATCAGAATGTACAAAACTCACTGGTAAGAGTAGGTACATGGAAAAACACAGAATATTATAACACTTGAATTGTGCTGAGTTAATTAGTTATATCTTGAGTAGAATGACTAAAAGATAAACTGATCAAAAACAATAACTACAACAAATTTTCAAGACATAAAGAGTACAATAAAATATAAACAGAAACAACAAAAAAGTTTTAAAACAAAGGGGTGAAGTTAAAGTGTAGGATTTTATTACTTTTTCTCTTTTGCCTTTGCAATCAGTGTTAAAAGTTGTCATCACTTTAAAACAATTGGTTATAATATATTATTTGCAAACCTCAGGGTAACCTCAAATTAAAAATCCTACACCACTGATGGGTCTTGACTCTTTATCCAATTTGCTAGTCTGTGTCTTTTAATTGGAGCATTTAGCCCATTTACATTTAACGTTAATATTGTTATGTATGAATTTGATCCTATCATTATGATGTTAGCTGATTATTTTGCTCATTAGTTGATGCAGTTTCTTCCTACCATCGATGGCCTTTACAATTTGGCATGTTTTTGCAATGGCTGATACCAGTTCTTCCTCTGCATGTTTAGTGCTTCCTTCAGGAGCTCTTGTAGATAAAGAGTCAAGACCCATCATTGTGCTGTATTCAGGAGACCCATCTCATGTGCAGAGACACATAGGCTCAAAATAAAGGGATGGAAGAAGATCTACCAAGCAAATGGAAAACAAAAAAAGGCAGGGGTTGCAATCCTAGTCTCTGATAAAACAGACTTTAAACCAACAAAGATCAAAAGAGACAAAGAAGGCCATTACATAATGGTAAAGGGATCAAATCAACAAGAAGAGCTAACGATCCTAAATATATATATACCCAATACAGGAGCACCCAGATTCATAAAGCAAGCCTTAGAGACCTACAGAGAGACTTAGACTCCCACACAATAATAATGGGAGACTTTAACAACCCACTGTCAACATTAGACAGATCAACAAGACAGAAAGTTAAAAACGATATCCAGGAATTGAACTCAGCTCTGCACCAAGCGGACCTAATAGACATCTACAGAACTCTTCACCCCAAATCAACAGAATATACATTCTTCTCAGCAACACATCGTACTTATTCCAAAATTGACCACATAGTTTGAAGTAAAGCAATCCTCAGCAACTGTAAAAGAACAGAAATTATAACAAACAGTCTCTCAGACCACAGTGCAATCAAACGAGAACTCAGGATTAATAGACTCACTCAAAACCGCTCATCTACATGGAAACTGAACAACCTGCTCCTGAATGACTACTGGGTACATAATGAAATGAAGGCAGAAATGAAGATGTTCTTTGAAACCAATGAGAACAAAGATATAGCATTCCAGAATCTCTGGGTCACATTTAAAGCAGAATGTAGAGGGAAATTTACAGCACTAAATGCCCACAAGAGAAAGCAGGAAAGATCTAAAATTCACACCCTAACATCACAATTAAAAGAACTAGAGAAACAAGAGGAAACACATTCAAAAGCTAGCAGAAGGCAAGAAATAACTAAGATTAGAGCAGAACTGAAGGAGATAAGAGACACAAAAAACCCTTCAAAAATCAATGAAACCAGGAGCTGGTTTTTTGAAAAGATCAACAAAATTGATAGACCGCTAGCAAGACTAATAAAGAAGAAAAGAGAGAAGAATCAAATAGACGCAATAAAAAATGATAAAGGGGATATCACCACCAATCCCACAGAAATACAAACTACCATCAGAGAATATAAACACCTCTATGCAAATAAACTAGAAAATCTGGAAGAAATGGATAAATTCCTGGACACATACACACTCCCAAGACTAAACCAGGAAGAAGTTGAATCCCTGAGTAGACGAATAACAGGCTCTGAAATTAAGGCAATAATTAATAGTCTACCAACCAAAAAAACTCCAGGACCAAACAGATTCACAGCCAAATTCTACCAGAGGTACAAGGAAGAGCTGGTACCATTCCTTCTGAAACTATTCCAATCAATAGAAAAAGAGGGAATCCTCCTTAACTCATTTTATGAGGCCAACATCATTCTGATACCAAAGCCTGGCAGAGACACAACCAAAAAGAGGATTTTAGACCAATATCCCTGATGAACATTGATGCAAAAATCCTCAATAAAATACTGGCAAACTGAGTCCAGCAGCACATTAAAAAGCTTATCCACCATAATCAAGTGGGCTTCATCCCTGGGATGCAAGGCTGGTTCAACATACACAAATCAATAAACGTAATCCAGCATATAAACAGAACCAAAGACAAAAAACACATGGTTTTCTCAATAGATGCAGAAAAGGCCTTTGACAAATTTCAACAGCCCTTCATGATAAAAACTCAAAAAATTAGGTATTGATGGGACATATCTCAAAATAATAAGAGCTACTTATGACAAACCCACAGCCAATAGCATACTGAATGGGAAAAAACTGGAAGCATTCCCTTTGAAAACTGGCACAAGACAGGGATGCCCTCTCTCATCACTCCTACTCAACATAGTGTTGGAAGTTCTGGTCAGGGCAATCAGGCAGGAGAGATAAATAAAGGGTATTCAATTCGGAAAAGAGGAAGTCAAATTGTCCCTGTTTGCAGACGACATGATTGTATATTTAGAAAACCCCATCGTCTCAGCCCAAAATCTCCTTAAGCTGATAAGCAACTTCAGCAAAGTCTCAGGATACAAAATCAATGGGCAAAAATCACAAGCATTCTTATACACCAATAACAGACAAACAGAGAGCCAAATCATGAGTGAACTCCCATTCACAATTGCTTCAAAGAGAATAAAATACCTAGGAATCCAACTTACAAGGGATGTGAAGGACCTCTTCAAGGAGAACTACAAACCACTTCTCAACGAAATAAAAGAGGACACAAACAAATGAAAGAACATTCCATGCTCATGGATAGGAAGAATCAATATCATGAACATGGCCATACTACCCAAGGTAATTTATACATTCAATACCATCCCCATCAATCTACCAATGACTTTCTTCACAGAATTGGAAAAAACAACTTTAAAGTTCATATGGAACCAAAAAAGAGCCTGCATTGCCAAGACAATCCTAAGCCAAAAGAACAAAGCTGGAGGCATCACGCTACCTGACTTCAAACTATACTACAAGGCTACAGTAACAAAAACAGCATGGTACTGGTACCAAAACAGAGATATAGACCAATGGAACAGAACAGAGCCCTCAGAAATAATGCCACACATCTACAATCATCTGATCTTTGATAAACTTGACAAAAACAAGAAATGGGGAAAGGATTCCCTATTTAATAAAAGGTGCTGGGAAAACTGGCTAGCCATATGTAGAAAGCTGAAACTGGATCCCTTCCTTACACCTTATACAAAAATTAATTCAAGATGGATTAAAGACTTAAATGTTATACCTAAAACCATAAAAACCCTAGAAGTAAACCTAGGCAATACTGTTCAGGTCATAGGCATGGGCAAGGACTTCATGTCTAAAACACCAAAAGCAATGGCAACAAAAGCCAAAATTGACAAATGAGATCTAATTAAACTAAAGAGCTTCTGCACAGCAGAAGAAACTACCATCAGAGTGAACAAGCAACCTTTAGATTGGGAGAGAAGTTTTGCAATCTACTCATCTGACGAAGGGCTAATATCCAGAATCTACAAAGAACTCAAACAAACTTACAAGAAAAAACAAACAACCCCATCAAAAACTGGGTGAAGGATATGAACAGACACTTCTCAAAAGAAGACATTTATGCAGCCAACAAACACATGAAAAAATGTTCATCATCACTGGACATCAGAGAAATGCAAATCAAAACCACAATGAGATACCATCTCACACCAGTAGAATGGCCATCATTAAAAGTCAGGAAACAACAGGTGCTGGAGAGGATGTGGAGAAATAGGAAAACTTTTACACTGTTGGTGGGACTGTAAACTAGTTCAACCATTGTGGAAGACAGTGTGGCGATTCCTCAAGGATCTAGAACTAGAAATACCATTTGACCCAGCCATCCCATTACTGGGTATATACCCAAAGGATTATAAATCATGCTTCTATAAAGACACATGCACATGTATGTTTATTGGGGCACTATTCACAATAGCAAAGACTTGGAACCAACCGAAATGTCCATCAATGATAGACTGGATTAAGAAAATGTGGCACATATACACCATGGAATACTATGCAACCATAAAAAAGGATGAGTTCATATCCTTTGTAGGGACATGGATGAAGCTGGAAACCATCATTCTCAGCAAACTCTTGCAAGGACAAAAAAACAAACACCACATGTTCTCACTCATAGGTGGGAACTGAACAATGAGAACACTTGGACGCCAGAAGGGGAACATCACACACTGGGGCCTGTCATGGGGTGGGGGGAGGGGGGAGGGATAGCATTAGGAGATATACCTAATGTAAATGACAAGTTAATGGGTGCAGCACACCAACATAGCACATGTATATGTATGTCACAAACCTGCACGCTGTGCACATGTACCCTGGAACTTAAAGTATAATAAAAAAAAATCCTACACCAGATAGACAAAAATAAAAACAAGAAATTAAAATATACCACCAGAGAAAATTACCTTGGAAAAAAGGAGAGGAAAGGAGGAAGAAAGGAAAATAAGACCACAAAACAACCAGAAAACAAATAATAAAATGACAGTAATGAATTCTTACTTATGTATAAGAACATCAAATGTAAATAGAATAAACTTGCCAATTTAAAGACATAGAGTGGCTGAATGAATTAAAAAACAAGACCCAATGACCTGGGTTTATAAGAAACACACTTCACCTATAAAGACACACATAGACTAAAATTAAATACATGGAAAAATATATTACCTGCAAATGGAAACCTAAAACAGCAGGAGTAGCTATACTGATATGATATAATTATCAGATATAATTCAATATAAACACTATAAGAAGAGACAAAGAAGGTCATTATATAATAATAAATGAAACAATTCAGCAAGAGAATATAACAATTGTAAATATATATATGCACTCAACAATGGAACACACAGATATATAAAACAAATATTATTAGAGCTAAACAGACGTATGAAAACCAGTACAACGTCAGCTGGAGACTTCAACACCCCACTTTCAGCATTAGACAGATCTTTGAGATAGAAAACCAATAACAACAACGACAACAACAAAAATCATTGCACTTAATCTTTACTGTGGACCAAATAAACCTAATAGATATTGACATAACATTTCATCCAATAACTACAAAATATACTTTCTTCTCTTCATCTCAAGGATAGGCCATAATTTAAGCCACATAGCAAGTCTTAAAACATTCAAAAAAATGAAACTATAACAAGTGTCTTCTATGATCACAATGAAATAAAACTAGAAATCAATAACAAGAGGAACTTTGGAAGCTATACAAACACAAGGTAATTCAACAATATGCTTCTGATTGACCAGTAGGTCAATGAAGGAATTAAGAAGCACTTAAAAAGTTTCTTGAAACAAATGATAATTGAAATACAACATACCAAAACCCATGATATACAGCAAAGGCAGTACTAAGAGAAAAGTTTATAGCAATAAATGCCTATATAAAAATGTAAAAAACCTTCAAATAACCAACCTAAAAATGTATCTTAAAGAACTAGAAAAAAATGGAGGAAACCAAACCTAAAATTAGTAGAAAAGAAATAATATAGATCAGAGCAGAAATAAATGAAATTAAAATTTAAAAAAAAGGAAGATCAATGAAATGAAAAGGTTTTTTTTTTAAAGATAAACAAAATTGAAAGACCTTTAGCCAGACTAGGAAAAAAAGAGAGAATACCCAAATAAATTAATAATTAAATAAATTATTAATAAAAATAATTAATTAAGGATGTATCACACACAAGTTAAAATGGCTTTCATCCAAAAGACAGGCAATAACAAATGATGATGAGGATGTGGAGAAAATGGAACCTCCGTGCACTGTTGGTGGGAATGTAAATTAGTACAACCACTGTGGAGAACAGCATGGAAAAACCTAGAAATAGTATTATTTTATGATCCATCAATACCATTGCTAGGTATACACCTCCCAAAAAAGGGAATTGGTATGTGCAAGAGATATCTGCAGTTCTATGTTCACTGAAGCACTATTCACAATAGCTCAGATTTGAGAGCAACCTAAGTGTCTACTAAAGATAAATGGTTAAAGAAAATGTGGTACATATACACAATGAATACTATTCAGCTGTATAAAAGAATAAGATTCTGTCATTTCCAAGAACATAGATGGAACTGTAGGATATTATGTTACATAAAATAAGCCAGATACAGTAAGACAGACAGTCTTTGTGTGTTCTCAGTCATTTGTGGGACCTAAAAATTAAAACAATTGAACTTATGGAAATTGAGAGTAGAATGATGGTTACTAGAGGCTGAGAAAGGTAGTTGGATGATGGGGGAAATGGGAATGATTAATGGGCACAATAATATATAGAATGAATAAGATCTAGTATTTGATAGCAAAGCAGGCTGATTACAGTCAACAATAACTTATTATAGATTTTTTAAAAACTAAAAGTGTATAATTGGAACATTTGTAACAAAAAATGATAAATGCTTGAGGTGATGGATAGAAAACAATAAAGTATAGATTCCTAGATAAATGGGTACCCATCTGATAAAGCCCTTAGCCCTATTAACACAAAAGAGAAAAGTAATAATGGATAGTTTATAGTTCAAAGAATAGATTTTTATAGCTGTTATTTTAGTATGGATAAATAAGAATATTAATAGGTAACAAGAATAATTTAGCAGACAACAATATTAAATATAAGTATGTAATTGAATCTAAATTATCTTAATGGTCCTTTATAAATTTCAGATTTCTCCATAAACTAGAAATACTATATGTTACATAACTGGAATGCTAAATATAATAATGATTTAAGCTATATTATCATTATATAACCACATTTTATGAAGTTATTTTAAATTATATTAAAACAAAAGACTAAAAATAACCTCCTATATTATGTTTTAGCCTCGAAATTCAAGCTCAAAATAGAAACAACATTATGGACAGATAAAATATTTTGGTTTTCATTTTAGTGCCTTTTGTATCTGGTGACAAGTAGAAAATCAGTTTTCTAGTCTGTATTGCCAAGGTTTTACAATCACTATTTGTATGTGGTGTCTGACTTCAATTTTTTGATATGTAACTAATAAAGCTTTAAAATCTCACTTTCCCTTCTTCCCTGTGTGCCCCACATCTGGTCAAGCTGATAAAAAGGCCTTCATACTCCTTCCTTTGGTGCAGGTGAGAGTTAACGTTTCATGCCCCCTCCTCTGTGAAACCTCATCCTGGCCCCACCACTAACCACAATAAAAACCCAGACCCACTCTTTTCCAGGCACTTTCAAGCCATTTTGGACTTCCCTGAGAGAGGACTGGCCTTGTGTGCCAAATATCCCAATTATAGGAATATTAAAACTTTTCATACTGTGATACTGTGTGGGGTGTGTGTGTGTGTGTGTGTGTGTGTGTGTGTGTATGTGGGATCATCAGACTTCACTTCAGAATCAAATTGGGGCCGGGAGGTCCATGTGTTTTGGCAGATGATAATAATATTCATCCATCACATTAATTTTCTCATAGGTCACAAACTGTGGTATTAACTGGGGATAAAATGGTAAATAAAAAAGGCATTAGTTCTCAAGGAGTCAACAGTCTGTTGAGGTCAATGGAAGGTTAACATAAAATTAAAATAGAATATCAACATTCTATAGTAGAGAAAAACACAAGCAAAATTCCACAGTATGAGGAAAAAGTGTGAATAAATAAACCTTTCAGGTTAGAGAAGACTTTCTGGATGACTGAGTTTAGGTTTAAAGGAAGAATAAGGCTGGGTGTGGTAGCTCGCGCTTGTAATTTCATCACTTTGGGAGACTAAGAGGTGGTAGAGTCACTTGAGCCCAGAATTTCAAGACCAGTCTAGGCAACATAGCAAGACTCTCTCTACCAAACATGAAAAATTCCAAAAATTAACCAAGCATTTGTGGCATGCCTGTACTTGTAGCTACCTGAGGGTCTGGGGCAGGAGGATCTCTTGAGCCCAGGAACCTGAAGCTGCAGTGATCTATGGTCGTGTCAATGCACTCCACCTTGGGCAATGGAGTGAGGCCCTGTTTCTAAAAAAAAATAAAGGATAAATTAGAGTGAACCATATAAAGAATTACAACAGCATTATTCCGAAAGAGGGATTATGAAAAACTATGAAGGCTTTTGAAAAACAGATTCATATTCTGCAAATTGCAAGTAGTTTTTCATGACTAGAAAGTTTACTTTAATGTAAAAAATGGTAAAAAGAAAATGAAGCTATTTAGTGAGGGCCAGATAGTGAATGATTTTGTAAAATCGTCTCTGAACTGTGGATTTTAATGTTATTCTTACTTTCAGTATTATTCCACAAACTACATATTAAAGACTCCATCAATATCTGTACATGATCTGTAGTGCCCAAAACATTTTTTAACAGTTATGTTGCCTGTATTTCATTAAATACATTTATATGGCTAGCTTGTTTTCATTCCATGTGTTACAACTAAAAAAAATATAAATTATGGAGCTGCCAATTTGAACAATTCTTACATGATTTATGGTTGTACACATAAAACATCTTTTATTGCTATTTATAATTAGCATCTTAATCTGCAAAATGAATCCAGTATTAACTCTCCCATTCTTCTTCACAAAATAACAAACCTATTTTGGTATAAACCTCATTTGTTCACTCATATCTGGTCCTTTCTTCTTCCAGTTATACACCCATCTGCAGTTAAGAATAGCTATATCACTTGCTATGTTCAATGATATAGAAGTTGGAGTGATGTGTGCAATTTTCAATATGTATCTTTTTCCTGATACACAGGCTAAGGATGTCATAAATTCCAGATGCTATAGCTAAATGGATGGAGCAGCCTCCTTCATCCTGATTGCTGAACTGCAGCATTATGTGTTGAACCCAAAGATCCAAGGAGGCTTACAAAAAGTGAGTACTACATATCTATTCTGCTAAAACTTTGATATTTCAGTTTCTTCTATTAGTACGAGTGCAGTCATGCATTAATGTAATTTCTTTTTAATAAATACTCAAATAATTAAATGATTTACATTTAATAACAATAAGAGAATAAATAATGATGAAGACATTATTATACTGATGAGATCTTCTGAAATTTATACAGGTGAGCATTTTTAAAATCATTTATTTATGTTTTCAGGAAGCACTTAGTTCATTTCTGCTACATGTAATAAGCACTGCACTTAGAATATGTCACTTGTTGAGTTTTATGAGATCAAAAACAAAGAAAAACTTTACCCCCCCAGGTTTTTATAGTCCTAATGAAGGAATTGTATGAGTAATAAATGGCTACAGTATATAAAAGATGATGAAGTATTTATATTTATTACCATCAGGTAAAAGATTATAAATGGAATGACATTTGGTCTATGCCAAGTTTTTACCGTTATCTGTGTATACCAAATGTTTGAACCTAACCCTTTAGAAATTACTAGACTATGTGAACTAAGTCTAACCCGTGAATACCCATCTCTCTTTGTCTCTTCCTAGTCAACCCTCTATTTGGATGTGACCTTTTGGATGCAAATTTTATTGAAATTAGACAGTAATATGAAAAATTGTCCGCTTTCCCTAGGTAGCTGCATACCTAGCTCCCTCACTTCGGGTGTCAGCTTAAATGTCACTTCATAAATGTCTACTTTTACCACCTTTATTTTCCTTCTTCAAACTTATACCTGACATGCTATTATATTGGATTCCTTGATATTTGCTATCTCTTCCACTTGAATATAATCTTCATGAAGGTAGATAGTTTATGTGCTATCATATCTCTGGCTCTAGTTTTGTCTTGGACATATGCTATTTATTTACTAAATTGATAAATGAAAGAATAATAAATACATGTAATAAATATTTTCTAACCCTTTCTCTTATAGGTTAAAATTATATTATTTTCTACCTCCAGTGGCTAAAATTATATATTTGCATAGTACTACTGTCTTCCTTTTCTGATCTAGAAATAAATTAGGAGTGAAATATATGAAAATTTTTCTCACTAACATGTATTAATAAGTATCACAATATTTCTTTTTAATTCTTCTATATTTTATAAAAATGGCAAGATATAAATGGATAAATCGGTACTTTTTTCCCATCAAGTACTTTTGCTAACCCTAAATCAAATAAAAGCATTATATTTCTGTGTAGGTTCATAACACAGGTGAAACTGTTTACTCTCTAGACAAGTTTTAATTACAAATAGTAGACTTTGCTTCTCTTTTCCAATCTCCTGCATACAGCAGTGAAGTGACATCCATGAAGTGAGTCGGGAAAGTGAGTAGGATTAGAGCAGAAATAATAGCACTGATGCTAATCATATTGTTTAACTTGCTATGAGTCTAAATTTAATGTAAACTTATGGAACACATTTGAGCGTGATAAAAATTCAAGTGTAATCATTTTTTCTGCTTCTTTAATTTTCTAATGGTTTTAAGTATGCATATGAATTCAGTGAAAAGGTGAATTGTCTGTTATTTAAATTTTTAGCTCGAATAAAATAGTAGAATACTTAGAGCATCCAGCATTATATGTGTTCATTTTAGAGATACTTGAGGAACTAAAGAAAATACACAACTCCCAGCAGGTTTTATGGAGAATTAGGCTATCTACAACACAAAGTAACTATTGTAGATCAACAGCAGTTCTAATATATCAATTGGAATGTTCAGCCATTCCCTCATTAGTAGGTATCCATTTGGCCTTGAATTTCCTTGCGTAATGAATCAGCTTAATGTGGTTTCAATTTTTCTTGACATTTATTTTTTTCCTATTCCTTCAACCACTACATACCATTTCTTTCTTCTGTCCAAAACTTTTGCTTAGTCTGGCTTCTACTTTTATGGATCCTTGACTTTTGGCTTTCTCTGTTTCTATGTTTCACATTGTAGCATCTCAAGATAAATGTTATAATTCCTTTGGCAAGGCAGCTACTAACCAAGTGATAATGCATGTGTTAGTGAGGTATCCTCTGCCCCATGGCTCCTGAACAACATACACAGGACTTTTTTTTTTTTTCTTTAACTTTGTGCTGATCTCTATCCTATCTATGGGGACAGTATAAAAGTTCGTTAAATAGTACAAAGCAGAGCAAGTGACACATAAGTAATCCTTATGAGAAGAACTCGGCGGTTTAAAATAGCTGTTTATTTTTGTGCGAAGAATTGCAGTGAGGTCATTAATAACTTTAAAGCTGATCAAATCAGAGAGCTCATTTCAAATGTCAGCCTTAAGTGGCATCTTAACCCCAACCTTATTCCCAACCCTGAAATGATTTCTGGTAACATTGTCAGTGTCTGAATTTTTTTTTCAGGAAACTAGAGCCACTTCAATTGAGTCTGAGAATTCATTAAATCTGATCACCACTTCAACCTCCTTAGAATAAAGACTTTCACTTCATTTCAGTTTTTCAAATCTCATATACTCGGACCTCACTGGCAAACTCTAACCTGGAGTCTTATTGAAAAAAGTCATTCTGGAAGACATGGGAAGAGACTAGAGGTTGTGCTGAGTTAACCACATACTGTCCAGCATAGGCAGCAAAGAGGTTCTGTGGATCTATAGTCTTTCCCTTGGGTGAAGGGGAAGATGAGGGAACAATCTTGAGATAGAGATAAAGAGATACCAAATCGTATTAATTTCATATGGCTAAGGACTTCTAGAATATGTCTCTTAAAAATATTTGTCTGATGAATGTCTAACTAGTCAGAGGTAAACATTGAGAAATACAATCTTTATTTTGCAAAATTGCAATAGATTTAATCAGTATTTCTCAGGTGGGAAGCATTTCTACAGCTAAAAATGAGTCTCAGCAGACATTTACTTTGAGATAATGAGAGCTTTTGGAGGCTATATATTATTGTATTGGAAATAAATGTGTATATTATAAGTTCAATGAAGAAGAATGTATTTACAATGGAAAATGGTGTATTGAGAAAAATCTGAACTTTACTTAAAGTTCTTAAAGTACTTAAAGAACTTTACTTAAGGTACTTACCTTCAGATTTTGAGTTTTGTTTAAAGAGTTACAAAATTTTTACATAAATGGCTGAATTATCAGAACATAAATCCATGTAAAATATGAAGTCGTTTTATTTTATGTTAGATATCATTTGTCCTGATTACTTCTTCTTTTTCTCTATACATGCATACATTTATTTCATCGCTTACTGTGAGACCTTGGGTAGTTATAAAATATTTCCCTGATTTGGGTTTAACATCCATGAAACAGGGAATTTGGGCTAATAAAGCTCTTATAAGAGTGACTGGCACATATCTGAGTCTTATTTAATGTTATTATTATTAATGGTTTTATTATTGTTATTATAATGGTTTTTTGTTCTAGATTATAATAACCCTAGGATCTATATTTAAGAAATGCCCAACTCACATGCATAAAATGTTCAATATTTAAACAAATTAATGAAGAGAAGAAAAAACAAAGCTTGTCAGAATTATTACAAGAAATGTAGGATGACTAGACTGGATAATTTAAGAAGAGTTAATAGGACTATTGTGTATAGGAAAGGACTAGATACAGTAGAGTATCATTTCTATATCCAGGCCTAAAAGGTTGAAGAAAAAATAGTATCTGGAACTCAAAGAGAGAGAAAGCTGTATGAATGGCTAATCATTTTTCTCACACAAAGAGTAAGTGAAGCCCACAGTGAACCCAAAGGGAGGAAGACGGGAGAATAAATAACCAGATCCTTTCATATCTCACCCTCCAATTTCTTGCTAATATGCCTTATTAACTGAATCCGAATTTTACCCAAAGACAAGGGAACTCAACATAAAAATATAGCTCACTTCACGCCTGTAATCCCAGCACTTTGGGAGTCCGATGCGGGCAGATCACCAGGTCAGGAGATCGAGAACATCCTGGCTAACACGGTGAAACCCCGCCTCTACTAAAAACACAAAATTTAGCCGGGCGTGGTGGCGGGCGCCCGTAGTCCCAGCTACTCTGGAGGCTGAGGCAGGAGAATGGCGTGAACCCTGGAGGCGGAGCTTGCAGTGGGCCGAGATCGCGCCAGGGCACTCCAGCCTGGGCGACAGAGAGAGACTCCATCTCATTAAAAAAAGAAAAGAAAAGAAAAGAAAATATGTATATATATATATATATATATCTCACTTTCTGGAAACCATAATAGAAACAAAATATTAAGCTGATCTTGAGGGACTAACAGACACTACCTGATACGTGTCTTTTAAAGTAATTATCTTATT